>NC_000002.12:23115815-23267331 GCF_000001405.40 Homo sapiens
CCTAGAGCATCTTCAGCTGAAACCAATGGTCCAGAAGGGTGTCTCTCAGCTGATGAATTTCCAAACAGTAGGAATTTCATCAATTTTCAAAACAGCATAACACTAAGGGTCTCAGGGGTTATTTATTTCACTCTAAGTCACCAAACATTCCTTTCTAAAGGATCTCCAGCAAGTACTGATGAGTTCTCACTACCCACAAAACATCCCAAGATTCTGCCACACAACTCTACATATTGTATAGTATTCCCTTGAGTTCTACCAAATCATTCACCATGAAATTTCTATCCAATAGTTCTAGTGCTGTTCTCTGGGGTTACACAGAAGCCTAACAGTCCCGACTGTTCTGTGACTCTTTTCTCATCGCTTCCATCAATTCATCATGGCATATTCTGATGCTTCTCATTGTCAAGAATTGCGAACATCTAAGATTTCACCCTGTTTTCAAGCTAACAAGTCAGCCTTTTCATTTCATAGATGCTGGCCAAAGACACGAGACTCCTGGGTCAAAGAAAAAGGTCTTTGTTACTCATGGCACAGAAAGAAGCATGAGCTTCATGTTTGCATCAGTTCTTCTTGCTCTCCAAATCCCAAAGTAGGCAAGGTGGAGGTAGGCCAAGGTAAATTCTGTGAATCCAGTGAGTTTATGACACAGCTGAGGAAACCTGAGCTCAAGAGACCCCCAATATTATAAGGGAGCTGCTAGAAAGCTTGCCCATCATTTTCCAAGAGGGAGACATCATCTTTATTATCCTGGTCATGAAACAAATCTGCCATTTTCTCCTAGAGTGATACTCTGTCCCCATCTTCAAAAGCTGTTGCAGATATATTATATCTTTGAAAAGCTGGTCCACAACAAAGCAATGCCTCTTGTTCAAAAGATGAGCACAAATGCAGGAGACGCCTGGAGAATTGTCTCCCAACATGTGTCTTCTTGATTTCCTTGACTCCTTTTCATACACCCAAGTTGAACAATGTATTTCTGTGCCACCCAGAGCTGAGTGTCACTTTCTAGATGGGCTTGACCAGTGCAGAGGACAGAAGGACTGTCCCTTCCAAGGTCTGAACATGCACCTTTACTAATGCAGTCAACAATTACATTGTTGATTTTGGGACTCCATGGCTTTCACTGGGACTGAAAATGTTTCATTAGAGATGTATTACTTTGGAACTGCGGGCACAAAACCATTTCTCTGTCAAGGGAAAATGATCTAGGAAGGAAAGCACCATGTCAGGAATTATATAACTTCAGCATTGCTGTATTGGCCTGCGTGGAGGAAGCCCAGGAGGAAGGGGAGGAGACAAAAGTTCGCCCCAACCCTACAGTCTTTCAGTCAGATTGAGATTGCAGACAGCGAAACTTCTTGAGCTTCTTCCCCCTAACAGTAATTCAGCCTCTTCTCTTCTAGACTTGCACAATTGGTTATATGTGTGTGTGTGTGTGTGTGTGTGTGTGTGTGTGTGTGTGTAGTTTTTATATCTGATCTGTTCTTGTTTGTTTTTTTTTTTTTTTTTTTTTTGGAGACAGAGTCTTGCTCTGTCACCCAGGCTGGATTACAGTGGTGCGATCTCAGCTCACTGCAACCTCCGCCTCCCAGGTTTAAGCAATTCTTCTGTCTCAGCCTCCTGAGTAACTGGGACTACAGGTGCACACTACTGCACCTGGCTAATTTTTTGAATTTTTAGTAGAGACAGGGTTTCACCATATTGGTCAGGCTGCTCTCGAACTCCTGACCTCAGGTGATCCACCCACCTCAGCCTCCCAAAGTGCTGGGATTACAGGCGTGAGCCACCGCACCCGACCAGCTGTTCTTTTAGTTATTTACAACCCATTTGGCTCCTGGGTTTGTTAAACATCATGATCCCTACACTCCAAAGAATTAATCAACTTGGTTCCACAGTTGCCTTTTTATTTTTCATTATCAACAACATCTTACAAGAAACTCATTTCAGCCACTGAAGTTTGTCATTTGAGTGCTACATACATATATATAAAGGCGTATATACACATATAAATTCACATCAGCAGACACACCAGAAATGTGCTCGCTTCTACACAACGGCACATGGTATGGACTCTTCTCCCAACACACACTCAGACGCACACCTCAGGACAACACAAAAATGGGCTCAAAGCACACAGCAGGCAGGGAGTAGTGTGTGCTAAGTACTGCCTGGTTGGAGCTGAGAACACTTGCTGGGGTCAGGCGGGGAGGGGCGCATAGCACACAGTGAAACAGGAGGAGGTGTAGCATCTCCAGGCATGTCTTAAATATCCTGGACCAGATATTGTTCTCATGGAGCCCCATGGGCAAAAGCTTCTCGAATAAGAGAGCGGGGCCAATTTGCTGAGCTTCCGTGGCAGGGCAGCACTTCAGATTAATTTGCTCTGATTGCTAACACAACACTGCAGCATAGGGCATCATCTTCTCATTTTGTAAATAAGAAAATCAAGGCCCAAATAAGGCCATATGACCATGTCATAAGGTTAGAAAGTGCCAAACCAGAGCCTGATCTGAAGGCTGTTGATCCCAGCTCACACTACCACAGGAGGCTGCTCTGATCCCAGAGAACCTCTGAGGGAACCCCCAACCTGCAACCCACACCTCAGCCTGCCCTTGCCCTACCACAGGCTGCAGCACATGTCCAGAGGAAAGCCCAGCTGTAGAGTAACACCCAGGCAAGCCCTGTAGGCTAACCGGGACACAGAGGAAGGCCGCCACCTGCTGCAGACACTCCACGCCCTTTCCCACAGTGACACCGCCGGGTTTCCGTTATCCTACCTTAGCCGGCTGGCTCCCTTTCCTACTAGGTCAGGAACACAATGTCTAATTTACTTGGCTCACTTTTCGCCAGCGACTTATCAAGAGTCAAAATTGTGTCACAAAGAGTCACTCAGGAGAGCCAGACTGAGTACAAGTCTCAGTCCCTCCATTTTCCAGTTGTGTAATTTCAAGTCTTTCTCAGCCTCTGCTTCCTCATCTGTAAAGTGGGAATAAGGGCAGAATCCACCTACTGGAGATCCTGGGCAGTTTGAATGGATTGATAATAAAACACACTTAGAGTAATACCTGGCCCACAGGGAGTACAAGATACATGCTAGTTCCTATTCATGTTAGCTCTGGGAATCCTCCACGACAAGACATGCATGGCCCCTGCCTCGCCACCACCACTGGAGCTGACGCTAAACACATAATTGGACAAATAATTCATTAGAGTGAGATGAGTGCGAAGAAAAAGGACAAAGTGCAAAGTGCAACAGAAGCGCGCACCAGAGGGTCAGAAGGAGCAGAAACCGGCCAGACCAGGGTCGGCAAACTTCATACGGCCAAGCTAGTTCTAATAAAGTCTATTGCAACACAGCCTCACCTTTTCATTCACAGATTGTCTGTGGCTGCTTTCACTCTACAACAGCAGAGTTGAGTGGGCAGGACAAAGACCTTCCAGCCCACGAAGCCAAAAATACGTTCCACCTGGCCCTTTAAGAAAGTTTGCTGACCCTTGAGCTAGAGGAAGAAGAAAGGGAGGCTGTCCACACAGATGGTGGAGGGAGGCTGGGCTGGGGTGGAAGGAACTTGGAAAATGTGAGTCCTTTGGGCATGCACTCCCTAAGAACCCGTGTCTCAAAATGCATTGACAAAGACACCTTGCTTCATCTTCTTCTCTCTGGCCTCTGAGGAAAAGGCCAACCCTCCCCTCTGCTTTCAGATCCCCTCTCCGCTAAGAACATTCCCTTCCAGGCATTCTGTCACCTGCATCTTCAGTCTCACTCTCTACTAGACCCCTTTCCTCACTGCCTCTCTCAATGACAGCCATCATCACCCTCCCCATCCACCCAGGCCAGAAACCTTGGGGACATTCCTGCCAGCTTCTCCTTCACAAGTCCCATGGCTTCCTCCCCATGACCACCCTCCTACTGCCCCATCCCCTCCACCTCCATTGCCGCTGCCTACTTCAGGCCCTCATCAGCTCATACTAGAACCATCTCCTTCTGTTCCCTCTTCCCCAACAGCCAGTCATCCTGCCTCCAGCCCCAGGCCTTCGCACCCAGCCTCCTCACTCTGCCTTCAGGGTCATCACTCTAAAATGCAAATCTAATCAAGTCACTCCCCTGCCCAAAACCCATAGGTGGCTCCCAAATGTTTATGGTTAAGAATCTGAACCTTTCAGCTCTGCATGATCTGCCCCCACCATGTCTCCAACTTTACCTCCTGCCAACTAGAATCATCTATCCTATTGTGACAATTATTTCTCTTTCTCTTCGGCCACCTAACAGCTTTGGATGCCACTCCATTTTTCACAAGTTCTTCACCTCACAAGATTTTTGGCAAGAGAACAACCACCAGATATTCATGATCCCAGCCTCTGTTGCAAGGTGCATGTTGCCTAAAGTGACCTAAGTTTCTCCAGTCAGATAAACCCAAGTCAGATTCTGAATCTGAGGCTAGAAGCATGGAGAAAGAAGCACAGCCCAGAACCCATTCTGGTGTGTGCGGAGGCGGTGATGTCAAACTCTAGGGGTATTTCCAGGGCCCAGCACTGTGGTTTCAGTGGTGAAAGCCCTGATTGCTGTGTCCAGCAAAGGCAACACTACCTCCTCTAGACTGCACAGTCTGAGGTGCAATTTTCAACATGGTTCATGCATCCATAGCACCGAGCCTGGGGCTTCTGCACTCCTAGAGATTCTGTGATCTCTCGGTATTTTAATAAATTCATATTTTTCTTCTTAATCTAGCCAAGTTAATTTCTGTTGTTTGATACTAAGAATCCTGCCTGCTATGCCTCTGAAGTCTTTTTTCATATCCTATTTCCACTTGAGAAGGAAAAACTAAGCTCTCTCTATGCCCCCACTGTGTGCACATGCACGCACGCACGCGCACACACACACACACACACACACACACACAGAGAGAGAACTGCAATACATGTATGACATTTATTTTCCTGTCTACCTTCCCCTGGATTATGAACTCGTTCATTCATTCATTTATCAAACAACATTATGTTTCTACTAAATACTAGATACTGCCCTAAGTCCTGGAAATATAGTGGAGAATAAAATAGAAAAAGTCTCTATCTTTATTGGGCTTATATTTTAGAAGGAAGAAGCTGCATTAACTTATTAATCTTCAAGCACCCACTAGAATGCTGGACACAGAGAACATACTCCACACATGTTTACTGAATGAATGGATGAATGAATGAATGATGACTTTTGTGGCCTAAGCCATTCCCTTGCCCCTCTTCAATGCAGACTAAAGGCTAAGATCCTATGATGCCCATGACTTCCACTCTGAGCTTTGCTTCCCCACCAGCACATGATTATGAAAGGGGATTGACTCCATGACATGCCCTGATCCCATTTGCCTTGTATTAAATCCCTGTAGTAAGAATAACTACCTTATCGCTTTTAAGCAGTGTGAAGTGAACACTGGCTGGTTGTGTGTTCTGGTTATTGGAGTTATCAATGACCAAGGGTTTTGATCTATTTCCTTGTGTTCTCTTTAGCCTAACTCATCCCAGGACTGGGAACATAGTAGATGTTGAATAAATTGAGATTGAACTTGACTTAGTTGTTGGATCTATGTACATATATACTCACAAACAGAGCACGTGAAGAGAGCCACAGGGTCTAATTTTTGCAGAAAAATTCAGAACAGCCTCTGATTAGTGAGTTTGTTCCATTTCCCAAGAAATCATTTTAACCTTTAAACACAGAAGGTCAGCGTCTCCTCTCTCTGCTCATGCATAATTCCCCTTGCCCTCTGCTCTTCAGTGCTGCAGCTACCTGCTGGAGAGAGAGCACTGGAGTCACCCAGAGGAAGAACACGGGTGCTCAGAGGCCCAGACCGCCTCCTTGGGATTGACGAAACCCTCAGAATATGTTGTCTCATTTGCTACATTATTAATAAAATTGCAAGAAGTTTGGGAGAAAAATTTCTCCCACCTAGAAAAATTAGCATTTATGCCACACACTGTGCAAAGTTAAGAAGATGAACAAAAGTAAAACAGAAAATGTTCCCTTTGAATCTTATTTGCAGTCAATGCCAGCAGAGGACCTGAAAGAAAGGAAAGAGTGGGATAGATCCGGTTGGGTGAGTGAGGGTTGCCAGGTGGGCACTGCGGGTGGGCCTCACATGGGGGCTGGAGGAAACCCAGCCAGCCCCAAGCATTCGAGGGTGATCACAGTTGGTGAGTGGTGGCGGTGTTGGGTGTGGTCAGTGATGGGGGTCCTACGATGGACAACAGCTCACAAGAGACAGAAAAATGCACACTGACTGACCTAAAGCCAAGGTCAGAGAGGCTGGCTTGGTAATTTCCTGAAAGCCTCAACTGGCCTGTGGGGCTGGGCCTGCTGCCAGAGGAAGTCAGGTAGGTAGAGACATCTAAGCAGGTTGTTCTAATAAATGAGACTAATTAGTCATAGGACCTAGGATCTCAGTCCTTTTGAGCAGCCATGTCAAACAGCTAATGGTATAAACACTTGCTCCTAGAAGTCTTCCCTGACTCCCCCATCTCTCACAGCACCTCATCATCCCAGTTCCCATTGCCCTGCTTTATCTTCTCCTCTCACCTCTTACTGCCAGCTCATACAGCTACTGATTTGTATGGCGTATTGTGGACTGTGGATTGGATCACATCATGATAGTAGAATACAAGCAGTATGAGGATGATGTCATGTTATTCACTGCTGTGTTCCTAGCCCCTAGCTTCTGGATCAGTGCCTGAGACCCCACACATATTTATTAAACTTGTAAGTAACTATATTCTGAACTAAAACTCCTAACTCTTTTCACTTAAACTGTTCATAGGCTAAGTAGTTTACTTGTCCCATATTTGTGCAATTATTAGCTTTTTTTTTTTTTTTTGAGAAGGAGTCTTGCTCTGCTACCAAGGCTGGAATGCAGGGATGCCATCTTGGCTCACTGCAACCTACACACCACCATGCCCAGCTAATTTTTGTGTTTTTAGTAGAGACAGGGTTTCACCATGTTGGCCAGGCTGGCCTTAAACTCCTGACCTCAAGTGATCTGCCAGCCTCGGCCTCCCAAAGTGCCGGGATTATAGGCATGAGTCACTCTACCCAGCCAATTATTAACTTTTAGCTAAGAATGCAGCATTTTATCTTTCAGGTTTTAGACCTTTTTCCAGCCTTTTGTGGTTCATACGTCTTGATTCCAACACAGTTTCAGTTTCTCTCAACATTGGTCAGTTCCCCCAAAACCAAGGCCGCATACAGTCACCCCTCTATCCAACGGGTTGACAAAGACTGAAAATGCAGAAGGAGCTTCCTGACAGGCCAGCAGATAGGTCCCTGCAGGCCTTGATTAATTGTTCCAAATCATTTGAGTTGGGAGTCCTGAAGACAGAGGCTCTCCACCCTGGAAAGCAGCTTAAAGATCAAGTGACTAGATGCCTCGATTTTACAGATGGGGTAGTGACATCTGCCATCATCCAAAGTGCAGTGATGAGTTTAGAAGCCGTGCCCAAGTGAAACAATGATTTCCAAATCCTGAAAACAGCCTGTTTGCGTTGAGTGGGAGCTTCCATAGTAACAAGCTTCCAGGGTGGTCTGGACTTCGATGGGCCAATCCAGAGCCTGAATTTGCCATCACCCACGCTGGATGGGTGGGATCCATTCACAAAGTTCGTCTCCTCTCTTTTCTCCTCCTGAATGTGGTCCATGAACAGCAGTGGGAAGCTTGGGAAGCCTGCACAGAGATTTTGTTCTCTTACTTTTTCACCCTTTCCTTTCTTCTCCCCCTTCCTGAGGTGGCCAACGCTCTCCTGATCTCTTTGTTTTCCACCCTGCTAATATTCGTAAACTTATTTCAATGGGGTGCATATGTCTGGAGGCACTGACGAGCTAGGGCCAGTGGATACTCAAAAATAAAACAGAGGTTTCTTGGCACTCAGGAAGCACAAAAACCTTTGGCTTTCAGTCACTAGTTGAGAATTTACAGAAAATGTCTCTTCAAATACCCAGAAATACAAAGGTCATGGGAAGATCCAATCATAATATGTATTGTTGAATAAATGAATGAATGAATGAATGAATGAATGAATGACTTCAGTAAATGATAAATAGTAAGTGCACATAGTACTGGAAGCTGTTGGTTTTCTCTTGGGAGACTTACTTTGGTCCAAGTGGAGACATCAGGGGAAATTCCAAACAGTGTCTCTAAGAAAAGCCAGGCGGGGAGAGTCCAACGCTGGGATGCAATTTGTACTCCAGGGCTCATGGTGGAACCAGGGAATGCTGGTGTGTGGCTGAGATCACATCCTTCCCTAGCTTTCTTCCCCCGCCCTATCCTCTCTCCCTCACTCCCCGAGAGTACTCCCTCAGTAAGTCACTTTCCTAAGAACCTCCTCCTCAAGCTCTGCTTCTAGGGACCTAAGACAACATACTTCTGCCATGTGTAGTGGAGTGTTTTGTATTTGATCTGGCCCTTTACCATCCTTTTACTTTCCTCCCACCCTACCGGTCATCTCCTGCCCCAGATTCCACATCAGCAGACTTTCCTTCTGCACACTGCTGAGGGTTAACAGCTGAGACATTCCTGGTGGCCACAATCACTCATGTATCCTAATTTGAAGATGCGCAGATGTGAACGGTCTGGAGCCACACTTGTAGACACAAGGGGAGCAGCTTTGCTTGTGAAGCCAAGAACGACACGAGAGTTTCAAAGCTGCCAAGAGGTGTCTTCAATTACATGAACAGAACCCGCTGTTGCAGTCATTAATTATGTATGGAACAGATTTGGGGAGGAGGACTAGGCAGGTGGTAAGACAAGTAACACCATGAGGCGGACAGAAAGAGGGAATTGCACATGCTTATTTTACAAGCTCATGGGGTGGTCTCCTTCCCAGAGCAGCTGGCCACTTCCCTTTCCCTTCTAGGAGGCCTGGAAGAAAGAAGGTGCTCTAGAGGCCAAGGCTTTAACGGTCTTGGCCTGCTTGGTTCTAGACTCGGAAGGACTGTGGTCTGAAATTGCTCCTGCAGCTCTGTGGCCCATGTGCAGACACCTGCTCAGTGCTACCAGAAAGTCCCCTGGCCAGCTCGTTCCTTCCTGCTCCACAAGGCGACAGCAAGCATTCTCCACTCACCAATCTCTTTTTCCCACCACCTGCTTCTTCATTCCCAGGAGATCCGTACCTCCAATGTCACATACATGTAGCAGGCAGCAAACGCAAACTCCTGAGTCCCTTGCTTACACATACACACAACACACGCAGACAACACACAACATATACACACAATACACATATAACACACATGCATGCACCACCTGAATCTCTACCCACCCTCTCCTCTGAAAAGATGGCTGAGATGGCCTCCTCTTCCCACAGCCCACTCCACTGCTTCACCTCCTCTCCCACATGTGCAACCCCTCTAGCGTGGCAGCCTCCTTCCTGGGAGTATTTTATTGTGCTAGAGTTTCACTTCTTAAAAAAAAATGAGAAGAGTCGTAATGAACAGATTACCTCACCTCCTACCTACAGAGAAAATAGAAAGCGTCAGATGGGCATTTCTCCTCTTCCCTCCCGCATGTAAACAAACCTACCTGGGCCACTCTGAGGGAAGCCATGTCCTCCTGCTTTACCTGAACAGCATCACCTGCGTTCCAGATCCACGTGTCCCCCTGCCCAAGGCAATTCACTTTTCCCTTAACTATTTCCTCTCCTGAACATTGTACTTTTTGCTCTGCCATCTCCTTTCTTTTTCCCATCTTTAAATGTGGTTTTCAGTGGTAAATCCTCAGCTCTCCTTTCTACTCATTCACTTTCCTGCCTTACTGTGTCTATGTGTCACAGCCTCTTCACTGGCATCTCCAGCCCCGATCTTGTTCCTAAGCACATCACAGGTGTTAACAAACTTCCTAATGCACAAGAGCCTGCAGCAAAACAAAACCGACCCAAAACTAAAATTCTCACAATGCTCCCCTACCCATTTGCTTTTTTTTTTTTTTTTTTGAGACAGAGTCACATTCTGTCACCCAGGCTGCAGTGCAGTGACGCAATCTTGGCTCACGGTAGCCTCAGCATCCCTGGGCTCAGGCAATCCTCCCATCTCAGCCTCCTGAGTTGCTGGAACTACAGATCACACCACCACACCCAGCTAAGTTTTGTATTTTTGTAGAAATGGGTCTTGCCATGTTGTCCAGGCTGGTCTTGAGCTCCTGGGCTCAAGTGAACTGCCTGCCTCAGCCTTTTAAAGTGCTGACATTACAGGCTTGAGCCACTGCAAACGGCCCTTAGCTCTTTATCCTTAATGTCTCATAGTAAATTAGCATTTCCAGCCAGCCAGATGCCCAAATCAGAGAGACCTAGAAAAGGTTCTTGACCCTTGACCTTTAGCTTCCTTCTTCCTTAACCAGCAAACCTCCATGCCCTATGTCTCCTAAATGTCCTTCAAATCCATCTTTTTCTCCCTCACATTCTAACACTGGAATAGTCTCTGTCCTAATATGCAGCCCACCCCACCCCCACTGCAGCCAGGTGTCTCTAAAATGCAAACTGGAAATTGCTACCCTCTCCTTAAACCCCTTCCTTGAATATCTGCCCACACTCACAGTCCTCTTCCCAGGAGAAATAGACTCAGAGAAGAGAAATTGAGCACAATACAGCAAATCCAGGGGAAAGGAAATTATCAATTCGTACATTTGTTTGTTTATTAAATTATACCTTCAAAACTTGGAGTTAGTCCTTCTGGGAGTCTCCAGGTCCAAGCACTTAGTTTCCTTGTTTATTTCCTTTATGTTTACCTCCATTTGTTATTGTTTTCTTGGATTCACTGTTTCTGTGCTTTCTTTAAAATCTGTCTTCCCTTTAAGAATACATTCCTCAAAATACTAGACACTGGGGATTCTAAAAGGGGGCAGGTGGGAGGGAGATGAGGGTTGAAAAATTACCTATTGGGCGCAATGTTTAATATTCAGGTGGTGGGTACACTAGAAGCCCAATGCCTACTACTAAGCAATATATCCATGTAACAAGCCTGCACTATGCAATATATCCATATAACAAGCCTGCACTATGCAATATATCCATATAACAAGCCTGCACTATGCAATATATCCATGTAACAAGCCTGCACATGGACCCCCTGAATCTATAAAAATAGTTTTTAAAAAGTTTTCAAAACTTTTTAAAAAGAATGCATGTTCCTCAAAGAAAAGATCCACCATTAGACTGATACGGTGTCTCAGTCAGCTAGGGCTGCTTATGTAAGATACCATGGACTGGGTGACTTAAACAACAGACATTTATCTGTTATAGTTTTAGAGCCGAGAAGTCCAAAATCAGGGTGCTGGCAGGTCCAGTGTCTGGGGAGGGCCTGCTTCTGGGTTTGCAGATGGCCATCTTCTCATTGTGTCCTCACATGGCAAAGAGCAGACAGAGAGGAGGCAAGCACTCTCATCTCTTATAAGAGCACTAATGCCATTCATGAGGTCTCCACCCTCATGACCTAACTACCTCCCAAAGGCTCCATCTCCTAATACTGTCCAGTTGAGGGTAAGGGTTTCAACATATGAATTTAGATGGGGAAGACACAAACATTTGGTCCGTAGCATAGGGTAAGCACAGCCTCTAGTACAAAGTGGGGCACATAGTCGACACCAAAGAAATATTTATGGAGTAAGAATTGAATAATTGAAGGGACAGATGAATGGCAAATTGGCACATGGTAGTTGGCATATGGCATTCTGGCCAGAGTCAGCGCTATCAACACTAGATTTTGCCATTATCTATTGTCAAACATTTACCAAGTACCTCCCATGTTCAAAGTACAGGCGGAATGGGCCGGGCACCAGGTAGACAGATGCAGAAGTTTCAATTCCTATACTCAAGTCCCTCTGGGGAGGCCTAACACTGAGGTACAAAGGACAAACTCCCAGCAGAGTATGAACAGATCTCCCCATGCCCAGGGCCTGACTAAGCCTGGGCTGTGCCCCACAGAGCTGCCCACAGGAACCAGGCGCTGAGGAAAGTTCTCACTCCTCTGCCCTATGTTTTTCCAGATCCCATACACCCATTCCATCTGCTCAGCCTTGAGCCCGTGGGAGAATGTACCATGACTAGGGTCAGAGGCTGTCCTATGCCCTTAAAGGAAAACATGAGGGTGTGCAAATGTATAAGGAGAAAAGCAGGGGAGAACAGAATTGGGTTACAAAAAAGAAATAAAGAGAAGAAAGGGGAAAGGGAAAACCACTTAAGTCAACATTGCTCATCTCTCCTCCACCTTCCCAGCCCCAGAGCCCAGCAGGGCTCACTTGGACAATGCAATGTCCTTCTCATCAAATTCCCTGCTCCCACACTCCCCAGCTGCAACCCAAGCTCCAGCCAGGGTCTGCAGGAATCTTTTAAAGCATACATCAGGTTGTGCAGATGTGTCCCTCCCCTGCTTACCATCCTCCTTGGCTTCCTCTACATTGAAAATAAATCCAAAATTCATGCTCACTCTAAAAAAATCCCTATCTGACTTGGTTTCTGCCTCTCTAGACACTCCAGCCATGCTATTCTGCTTTTTGTACCCGGAAAACACCAGGCTTGGGGCAGCTTCAGGGCCTGGACTGCTCTTTCCCCTGATCATCGCCAGGCTGGGTCCTTCCTGACACCTCCCCAATGCCTCACATGACCACCCCTTCTAAAGAAGTCACAGTGCCCACTCTATCTTACATTCCTGGGTTTAAATCCTCTGCAAAATTCTTACCACTGTTCTAATCTTTCATGACTACTTTTTTCTATATTCCCCATGTATTAATTTTCTATTGCTGCAAAACAAGTGACCACACACTCAGCAACTTAGAACAATACCCATTTACCAGGTCACAGTTCTCTAGGTTAGAGTCTGGACACAGAGTGGCTGAGTTCTTGGCTCAGGATTTCACAAGGCTGCAATCAGGGCATCAAGTGGCTATATTCTCATCTACCACTTGGGCTTCTCTTCCAAGCTCACATGGCTGTGGCAGAATTCAGTTCCTTGTGGTGGTGGGATTAAGGCTCCCATTTCCTTGGAGGCAGTCAGCCTGGGTCTGCCCTCAGCTCCTGGAGGCCACCCACATTCCCTGCCACACGGCCCCTCCAACTTCAAGGTTGGAAATGGAAGACTCTTCTCCACATCAAATCCCTCTCACACTCTGAATATCTCTCACCCAGAAAAGCTCACGCCCTCTGAAGGGATCACCTGATTATGTCAGGCACACCCAGCAGAATCACCTTTAAAGTCAACCGTGGCATGTAACATAACCTAAACATGGCAGTGACTGTCCGATCATATTCACAGCTCACCTCCACACCCAAGGGATGGGAGGGTTACACAAGGCATGCTCACCAGCGGGTGGGAATCTTGGGGGCTATCTTAGAATTCTGCCTACCGTACCCCCACTGGAGTATTTGCCTGTCTTGTTATCTCTGCATCCCGAGACCTGGTATACTACCTGCAACCACATACAGTACATGCAGAAAATGATTGTACTACAGAGTGCAGTGTGGTCAACCAATGTGACTGCTCAGCAACTAAAGATGATCAAAGCCCAGGAGCCCCACCAACCCAAGCAGATTCTGCTCTTCCAGCCCAGGAACTGAGAGAACCAAAGTCCTGCATACCTGAATCCAGTCACAGTCCCCCTAGTGTGCCACAGCACATTTCAGGAAGCCTCTGGACTGGGATACTTCTAGCACTTAGAAGATGCTTATTAGGCCAGGCGCAGTGGCTCACGCCTGTAATCCCAGCACTTTGGGAGGCCGAGGCGGGTGGATCACGAGGTCAGGAGATCGAGCCCATCCTGGCTAACATGGTGAAACCCCGTCTCTACTAAAAATACAAAAAATTAGCCAGGCGTGGTGGTGGGCACCTGTAGTCCCAGCTACTCGGGAGGCTGAAGCAGGAGAATGGCGTGAAGCCAGGAGGCGGAGCTTGCAGGGAGCCAAGATCACGCCACTGCACTACAGCCTGGGTGACAGAGCAAGACTCCGTCTCAAAAAAAAAAAAAAAAGAAGATGCTTATTAAATATTTTTATTTATTAATGGAATGAAAAGGAAGAGAATTCCTTCCAGAAACTAGAGATGGAGAGAGTTGGAAAGATCGAGGTGCTGGAGGAGCACAAAAGGAACCCTGAGCCAATCAAGAGCCTCTGTCTCTTCCACTGAAGGCCCACCCTATACCCAACTGTGCCCAAGGCCCAGCTTGCACCCAAGCCAATCTCCTCCAGGAAGCTCCCTCTGATACCCAGCCTGTAGTCCACTGCACTGAATGCCTGCCTAACTCATTTAGCCTTTGTGGGTGGACTGCCTTTGGACATCTATTTTCTTCTATGGCAAAGTAGATCAAATTATATTTGCTGCTTAGAATTTGCCATGCCTGAGTCTTCAGTCCCTGTCTCAACTACATTCCCCTTGAGGAGGTTGGCCATCTCACCTGTCTTTGTCGCCACCTAGTACAGAGGGAGCACATTCTGGCTGTGCATGTCACTCAGGACTTGCTTGGTGGTTTGGAATTGAGATCCGCAGAAAGCAGCAAATGGGAGTTAGTCTGGGTTGGGGTAGGCATGGGGCAAAGTGTGCTCGGGGAGGGGCATATAGGACTCACCAGTGCTGTTGAGGTAGGAGGGGCACAGTATGAGGGCTCTGGCACCCCCAAAAAGAGCACAGAAAGATCAGAAGGTCAGAGAGGACAGAGAAGAGGAAACAAAGAAAAAGCAACCAGACCAAGAAGGTGATTCTGCCTAAATCAGATGTGGCACCAGGCTGCTGGCTCTGTAAATGCAGGTTGCTTGCTTTTGTCCAAACCTTCTAAAAGAGCCACAGGCATTCAGAACTGTCATCATTCTGCCTCATCCTTATTTCTGGTGGTGACAGTGGTCAGTATTTGGTGGACATTAAAGGATGCAGTGACATTTGTGGGGAAGATGATACAATTTGCCCTGAACATCTAAGAAGAGTAAAGAAAAACAATTTAGTATTCTGGTGGGGTAAAGGGTGACCACGGCCCATGAATAGGACCGTCACTAACACACAAACCCCTTTCAAGTGCATGAACAGGAAGATGCTGTCCACACCATGGGCTCCAAGAAGATTCTCAATATACCTAAGATGGGCCAGAAATGTACTAGACTCCTGTGCTTGGTCTAGGCTCCCCACCAGGGGAATTCACACTTAGAGGGAATCTGAGGGCGGCCTCACAGGTAACAAGCAGGCTGGGCTGCAGGGCCTGGGAGAAAAGGAAGCTGGGATTATTCATCAGGGAAGACAGGCAGGCAGGATTTCATGCAATCTTCAGGTATCAGAAGAGTTCTTAGGCAGTGCAGGCTAAGTCTTGGCAGTGGCTACTGAGGATAGAATAAGAAAAGGAGCTTAATCCCCAGTATAAGGGATTTAGGATAGCTATGGGGGAGAAATTCCTGATGGTGAAAGTTGTTAAAAGTTGCAATGAATGGTCTCTAGAGAGATTCCGGTCTGCTCTGGAAGCTTTTACAAGTAGAAGAGATTATCTTCTGGCAGAGGCAGCTTATCTCTAATCCTGCCTGAAGGCAGGGGAATGGACACAATGACCTCGGGGTCTCCTTCAGACTTGTAAAGCAGGCCTTCCCATCAGCAGGCCAGCCAGCACCGGGATGCGCTTTGAGGAAGGCTCAGGGTGTTCCCAGAAATAAGAAGAGGCCAAAGCATGTGAGATTTCCTTTCCTTTTTCTATTTTTTAGCCACATCTGCCTTGCAGCAGTGGCCAAGGTCCTCTATAATCTCAGGTCTAATCAAGGGCACCTTAGACAAGAAAGCCAAGAGCAGCTGCAGACCACAGCAGAGATAGATTATGCCCTACTCTGCAAATCACCCAGACAACAAGGGCACAACCGCAGTCCTCTCCAAGGAGAGCTCTGCATTTAACAAGCCATGTGAAAATCTTGATGCCCCACCCAGGCAGAAGCAACAGAAAACCTGAGGGCATTCTCAACCTGCCACTGCCCACTAGGATGGCCAGAAGGGCTGTGTTGGCTCCAGCTTTCCCAATATCATGCTTCCACTTCCTGTCAGGCATGTGACAGGCCTCCTAGGACGCCAGCCTGTGCCCAGCTGTTCACCCTTGAGGACCAGAGAAGAAAAGAAAAGGATATGTTTTTAGACATGATGTGGCCAGACAGTGTGGATGACGTGGTGCAGAATGACAGTGTTAGGCGCGCAGAGCACTGGCTGCCACATCCCAGAAAGCTTCTCTGCTTGTGCAGGGCTGGAAGGAAGGGGACGATTTGGGTAGACAGAAGACTGGAGAGCTTCTAGAGTGCCTTTCCAAAGTGCTTCCCAAGTATATGAAATATTTAAGGGCCACAGATGATGCAAGGTTTTCTGCAAACCAAAAAGCCAAAGAATGAAAGACCTTTGGCCTTCCGGAAACTAGAGTTGACTCTGTGCAGTGTTCAAAGCTACAGATAAAGTTGGAAATGGGTACAGCTTTTACTTTCAGGTCTATTCCTCCAATGAAGAAAAACCTTCTTAACTCAACCCTAATACCTTCACAGAGCTTGATCTAGAAAGGTTCTTTATTCCTGCTATTGCTTTCTTAAAACACAGCTGATGTCTTTCAGTGCCCTCTTCTTGTCCTCCACATCTGTTTTCACTCTTCTGAGTGATTTTTCTCCAGGACCATCCCTGATTCCTACCATTCAGAACTTGATAAAGTGTGTTAGTCCATTCTCATACTGCTATAAAAAAAAAAAAAAAAACTCCCTGAGACTGGGTAATTTATGAAGAAAAGAGGTTTAAATGACTCACAGTTCCACAGGCTGCACAGGAAGCATGGCTGGGAGGCCTCAGGAAACTTACAGTCATGGTGAAAGGGCAAAAGGAAAGCAAACACGTCTACCATAGTGGCAGGAGACAGAGAGCAAAGGGGGAAGTGCTACACGCTTTTAAACAACCAAATCTCGTGAGAACTCACTATCATGAGAGCAGCAAGGGGAAAATCTGCCTCCATGATCCAGTCACCTCTCATCAGGTCCCTCCCTCAACACTAGCAATTATAATTCAACATGAGATTTGGATGGGGACACAGATCCAAACCATATTAATAAGTCATAACCTTATATCCTCCCCCACAAAAAATGGCCCTGGGGCCAGTTCCCTTCACTTCAAGGATGGCCTTCCTTCTGGAGCGTTAAAACACCAGCCCTCTGTACATTCCTACCTAGACTGCACCACCCTCAGCATGGGATGGAGCTGGAGCAAATGACCATGAATATGTAGGAAAAAAAAAAAAGCATGGAAATGTATTATTCTGTCCATTGCATTATACTAGAAACAGAAACTTGTTGCAAAAGCACATTAAGCATGCAATCAGCTGCATTCTCATGCCCAAATAAAGCTATTTTCATTTCATAAAACAAAAGAGCAAGTCAAGTCATTAGGGAAATAGAAATGGGGAACTTAAATGCCTAATTGGAAGCTCTACTGCGCTTGCAAAGTACCTTTGGTTTGTCTAAAAATTCAAGGGAAACACATTGAGCTTATAATTGCAGATAGATCGATGCCATGTTCCTTCCTGCATTAGCACCAAAGGAAAGTCCCTTCCTGTGGGTTCATCTCAGTCCCAGCTACACTGTGTAAACAGCAGTGACAGCCCAGAAGGAAGTGAGTGGGCTCCTGGAAGCAGGGAAAATTGAGAGGAGACCAAAAATCCCTTTCCTTTCCACTGAAGGCAAAAACCTAGGTTCACAGCACATTTCTGGCTCTTTTAGTGTAACTCTTCACCTCACAGTTAAAAAAATGGATGTGTTTGATTTATTTGTTGATCATTTCCTATGTGTACCGTGCAATGCAAGCTAAAGTAGTTCTCGGAGCCTCAGTGACTTCATCTGTGAAGTGCAAGGGTAAAGCGTGGCAAGTGTGTTTAGCCCTAGGATTCCACAGAAATGCCCTGGGAGCAGCTGCAGGGAGAAGATCATGTGGGGATGGACAGGCAAGGGAGGGCCACATGGTGAGACTTTAGTTCTCTACCCCCTGCTCCACTTCAGTGAGATGGCCCTACTTTTATCTGTTTAATATGTAGGCATTCCACATAAGATAAATGGGCAGGGAAAGGTTTCTGTTGCTTAAATACATACATGTGTGCATACACACAAATCCACTGAGCTAACTAATCTCTAGATCTAGTCCCCTAACCTTACGTAGCAACGAGAGAAGCCCTTATTCAACAGCTCCATAGTTTTGTTCAAGAGCTCAGTTACTGGTAGGTTCTCTGGAGTACGTATCCCAGGAGTTCAGAGTGAAACACGTCAATCATTGTTCTTCCTGGGAACGTCAGCCTTGACCTGTCCCTGGATCCTGCACATGTGGTCGTTCTGAGGTTGGGCAGGAGCAATTCCTGCATCACCTATTTTTTTCATCGGGAACTCATCTAAACTCAACTTTTCTCAATTTGTCTAAATCATCAACTCAACTCGTATAAGTTGGAGAAATGAGAAAATTCAGGTTTACTTGGATTTTTATTTGGGTCATAGGTCCTCTTATAGATAAAGTCTATATTCAGAAGTCTCTGTCTGAAGAGGGTTGGAGGGGCATTTTTCAACATACGACTGTCCAATGAGAGGAGCCCGAAGGATCCACACAAACCCCAGGAGAATCTTTTTCTCAGAGCCGAAGTGAAAATTCCCAAAGATCCCCACACCTGAAGGAATGAATCTCTAATGGCTGAATACTGGGGTCTCTGAGTGCAGATAAGAGTCACATCTAAAGCCTTCATTCACAACTGGATCCCTTTCAGCAGCCAGTCCTGCAGATCACACAAGGGCTTAGCCTTGAATTTGCTCATCCCTAGGATGGGTTCACACTGCACTCTGGGTAGCATTTTCCTCAGGCCATGGAAAGTCTGTGCACTCCCACCCCTTTATCTTCATAGAAAAGGAGATACGAAGATAAAGTTAGAAAGCATGCTCTACCCTGTTCTTCAGGAATGACACTCCAGTCTCAGGCCTGAGGTTCATGAAATGAAGAGTGATTGTGAGTAAAGCACTGACATGCACAAGTGGACATCCCTAAGTATGATTAGGTCCCTAGTTGTATTGGAAACAAAACCTCAGGCATATCATGGAGAACACGAGTCCAGTCCCACACTTCATCTGTGCAACACCACTGAGCTTGGCATTTAGGTCTCCATCCTTAAGTGCTGTCTGTTGGAGGCATTACAGGACATGAAACTCACTTGCTCCTGCAGCTTAAATATGTTTGGATTTGCAGGGGCAGCAGGGACTGGTCTGTAACTAACAAAATTCTAGCTTATCCCCAAAGACTGAAACCCCAAATGGAGACAGCATGTCCCCGAAGAAATGGGGAGGAGAAATGTCCTCTCCCCAAAGGGAGAGGAAGAGGAGAAAATGGAAGTAGCAGAGAGTGATACATGGCTAGTCTGGTTCCCTGAACTAGTTATTACTGAGCTGTTTGCCACCTGATCCCATGTATTTTTAAAGCATGCAGTTAAGGAGCATTTATTAAAATGTTTTCAAGCTGTCCTTCTAAAGAAGAAACCCTGACAGGCCACTCAGTATACTGCAAAGGTGGGTTAAATACTATTATCCCTGCTTCAAAGATAGGGAGACAACAGTATAATGGATTACCTTAATTTCCCAGAGACATGCCGTGAATTCATTACTGGGGTGAAAAAAAAAGAAAAAGGAGAAGAAAATTAGACTAAAGAATCCTGAAGCCTAGGCGGTCTTGCCAAAAAAGCCAACCAGTTTGAGGGAAGGAGAAACAAGCACCAAACCTCCGAGGGAGCAGCTCCAAAAACACAGTCCTTACAAACACAGACACCTTCAGGAGCTCCGAATTAAAATGTGCAGTGGAAACAAATTCACCACACACAAAACCGTGATGGCTCACCACTCTGCCTTGCACTGCAGATCGAGAGAGGAGGGAAAAATAATCCAGATCCTAATTTAGTTCAGGAGCTTGTTTTCTTACACTGACAAATCTTTCTAAAAATGATTTCCTGATTAGAGTCAAACGGCTGAGGCCAAAACTCTCTGAGATTGTTGTGCTGTCAGCATGTTAATGGTGTTCCTTAGCAACTCCCTCCCCTCCACTTTTAGGAAGAAACAACACCTCTGCCAGGAATGCAAAGCTGGAGAAGCGACAGCACCTCTGATGATTCATGGCTTGGAAGGGAGGCACAGACGACTGAGGCTGACAGGAGGCTGGCACACTGGCCAGCAGCAGCAAATGCAAAGGCAGGCGCTGGCCTGGGTGGGGAAACTGGGGAAGAGGAGAGGAGAATGAGCTGCCACCATGTCTCTGTATCTCTTAGCTACTTGCAGCTATCACCTGCAATTGAATCAGTTGAAATGTAAAAGGCACAGTAGTGATCTAGGATTAACTCAGCATTTCAGTTTGCAGGACTCTTTCCTTTACGACAGAGGGACCCCAATATTTGCTCAGAACCAATCTTCTTTTCACCACACTTAAGGATGCAAGAAATCGTCAAGAGAGATCAAGTCAGCGAAGAATAAGAAAAAGGGTTTTCTGAACTCATGTTGTTTTCTTTATCATAAACTTGGAGCATCTCCAACTTGGAGAATTGGTTGGAAATAAATGAACATCATAATTTTATTCAGCGAATGATGTATCGATTTATTACACATTGACAGGATGCCAGGTCTTGCCCTTTGTAATTTCAGATCACTTCTTTTAGCAATGAGTACTATTGAACAACCTTAAAGCTGGAAGGAACATAAACTCCAATAATCTCATTGTCCAGATGAGAAAACTGAGGCCTTGGGAAGCTGACTTCGCTGAGGTCATGAGTGATTTATTGGCAGATCTAGATCATGAATCCAAGTATTTCCATCATGGCTACTAATTCTCAGACCAGATGCTTCAAACCTGGGCTTAGACAGTCTCAGTTTGAGAAGGGGAGAAGCGAGATTCAATTTGCCAATATTCCCATCCTTGGAGGAAGTGATATTTATCCTAAGCCAAGACATATTGGTAAATTCTCTAATTTAGTCGGATGATGTCTCACTTTACATGATAAATGTTTCTAAAAAGTTGTATGCAAATCAAATTTTTGTAAATTGAATTACTTTTTTTAAAAGCACAAGACAGATTGCTTTGTAAAGGAACCCTGGGCTGAAAATGAGAAATATTTCTGCAATTTAAATAATAACTACCTCTATAATTTATCTCTTCTGTAAATGTATAATTTAATATTTCTTGGTTTTGTTTAGCATCTCTTGTTTAAAACAAGAAGGATCTATATGCATGCAGCTAGTGTCATCAAGTAGTTTAAAATACATTAATAATAACTAATACTTCCTTCTGCATATCCTTAAGAACTGATAAAGAATTGGTATTCCCATTTGGCAGATGACAACAGTGAAGGCATAGAATAAAGACAGATTCAAGACCATGGAGAAAGTCAATGATGTAGATAGGATACTCACATGGTTTTGCTTATAAATCCTGCATTTTATCTATTGTGATATGTTACTTCCTGCTTAGGAAACTGTGGGCAGCTAGTATCTCCCAGGGAGACATTCCTCACATCACAGATGCAGGGACTCCAAGGAAATTCATGAGCCCTCTCAAAGGCCTAGGCTTTAGGAATCCAGGAAGAGCCTCATACCCTCTGTCCAATCACTTGACTCACCTAGGAAACACGAAAGCCAAAAAAGAGTTTGCTTGATGACATATTCCCAAATCAATCCAGGACAATGTGTCTTTACTAAGTCCCCATCATGCATTCAAACGCTCCTACTGTAGGGAAGAAAATGGGAGAATCTGGAGGCTCTGCCCACAAAGACTCATAGTCCACTTAAAGAGGCAAGGCTCACACACAAAACTGAGTCCAAGTTTACCTGGGTCTCCCTCACTCAATTGTAGATGGTTTTTGTTTCATATTTTTTAAAATGTTATTTCATTTTAAGTTCTGGATACATGTGCAGGACGTGCAGGTTTGTTACAAAGGTAAATGTATGCTCTGGTGGTTTGCTGCTCCTATCAACCCATCACCTAGGTATTAACCCCCAAATGCATTAGTTATTTATCCTGATGCTCTCTGTCCCCCCTGCCCCCCAATTGTAGATTGTTAAAAAGGGGGATCTCCTTCATCTCTGCAAAGTTAGCATCCTGCCTTGGAAAAAATCAGCAACTGGTGAATTTTTGGTCATAGTGAATTATTGCTACTTCATTTTATCAGCCAGAGAGATTGGGAAGGATGTTACCTGCAAACATCTGAAGAGCTTATAGAGACTAGATGAAAGAAACACACATCATTTGTATCTCCAGGATGAAATGATCTCATCTGCAAAATACGAATGATGATAATACCAACCTCAGAGAGTTGCTGAGGCACTTGAGTGGTAAAATAGAGCTAAAGTATTTAGCACGAGTCTGCACACAGTGAGTGCACAATCAGTAGTGCCTATGATTTGCATTATAAGAATCACATACTATGGTTACAGAGAAACTGGTGATAGGTCAATGTGAGAAAGAATTTTCCAAAATTATTAAGGGCTGCCCACTACTGGAAGCTACAACATAGGCTGTGCTCCTTACCCCGGAAGCAAGATGAACATCTCTCATGAAGGTGTCGAGAAAAGTGTTGCTCTAGATAATAGTTGGCTTATTGCACTGGTTCACTCACCTGGTTGAGAATCAGAATAACATAGGCAATGTTTTAAAACTAAAAGTTCTGGCTGGGCGTGGTGGCTCACGCCTGTAATCCCAGCACTTTGGGAGGCCAAGGCAGGTGGATCACGAGGTCAAGAGATCGAGACCATCCTGGCCAACACTGTGAAACCCTATCTCCACTAAAAATACAAAAATTAGCTGGGCATGGTGGCGCATGCCTGTAGTCCCAACTACATGGGTGGCTGAGGCAGGAGAATCTCTTGAACCCGGGAGACAGAGGTTGCAGTGAGCTGAGATTGCGCCACTGCACTCCATCCTGGCAACAGAGCAAGAATCCATCTCAAAAAAAAAAAGTTCTGGGCCAAACCAGACTTAACAATTGTGGAAAGGCCCAGGAATCTCTATTTTAATGAGCATTCCTTGTGATTATTATGTAGTTGATCAAGCATGCATCTAATTACCAGTTTGAGAACCACCCTTGTAGAGAAAGTTTATGGTTTCTTCCAAATTCTGAGGCTCTAGGAGTTCCTTCATCCATCCCTGGTCACCTTCAGAACGGTGTCATGGAAAACAATGCAAATTGCTAACACCAGACCGACTGAGCTCAAATCCCTGCTCTACTATTTCCTACTAGTATGAATTAAAACATATTGATTACCCTCCCAGAGCCTCACTTCCCTTGCCTATAAAATGGAGATTAACATGACTACCTTGTGCAAAGGTTCTTGGGGTTTTCCCGCCTCATAATAGGTCCTCAATAAATATTTATAACCTTAATAGAAAAGTACCTCTCATTGTGTGAGGCAAATAAGGACTTAACAAATAAAAGTATCTTTTCTCACCACCATCCCATGCTTATGCATTATGTAGAGGAATGTGAGTTCACCTAATTCAGAGAGACAACAGGAGATAAGAAAGTAAGAAAGGAAAACTATGCCTAGGAGAAGACGCCAGAGGAGCAGGAAAATAGCTTAGAGGATTCCCGAAAGGGAAGTGGATTCCCCAAATCTAAAGTAGAACAGATAGAGAAAAAACACAATGTATTGAACTTCAGTGTAAAAGTAAAGAAGTATGAAAGTGTCATAGATCTTTCTGGATTTTGTTGTATACTCCAGTCATTAAGTCTGCATTTAGAAATATTTATATTTGCTGAAAACCAAGAGCCTTGGCACACAGGGAGAATAAAAAGGGCAAGGGACAGGGTCTAATTCATCATCAGGGGGCTGTCACCTTGACAACTAGAAGAATTGGAAAGTTACAAAGTACCAGCACAAAACAACATCAATCACCCAACAATGGTAAATAAATTAATCAAAAATCATTGGGTACCAAAAGGTCTGGGGGAAAAATAAAAGGCAGAAGAGAAAAATGATCAAGAGCGACAAGCAAGCAAAATTGCAGAGCCTAACCCTGTTAGAGCCTAAGCCACGTACACTGGCTGATTGCCAGCCACTCTGCCTTCAAGGCCTCACTCCCAAGCAGGGTGCCAAGCATGACAGGGTGCAAAAGTAATCATGGAGGCTGTTGTCACCACATCTATGACCCCTTCTGTATTTGGACGGCAGATCCACCCAGAACCCACCGCCTACCCCTAGCAAAAGAAGAAGGTATCATCTTTGACATACAGCTCATCCTAAACATCACAATGCTCAAAACCATGCCCTGGCTCATTCCTAAGCTGTCATATTGTGTGCTTGAGTTAAACTCCCCAAATCCCCAGTTGGTCTGCTGAGAACCACTTATCACCAGCCCCAGGCCTTGGCTGAATATATGACTTTCCCCTCTGTGATATCAAGGACCCTTACCCACCCAGAATTATGAACACCTGGGCTTACTCTCCCCAATCTGGCCTCTACTTCCCCAATTAGTTAGCTTTTTGTTTACTTGGCAAAAAAAAAAAAAAAAAAAAAAAGTGGCTGTAGAGGGTATTAGCCAGTTTACCAACTTTCCCACTTTTTTTCCAATCAAGATGTACGCAGCTGGCCCTCTAATTTCACAAAAGACAATGATTCATGGGGCTCAGCAATGAATTAAAAGAATTTACACACCTGAATTTTCTATGGATTCACACAGGTCATGAAATACCCCAGCAGAGTTTAACACATATGAGGGTTCAAGTCCCACCTTTATATTAATTTGTGTGTGTGTGTGTGTGTATATATATATATATATATATATATATATATATATATAGAGAGAGAGAGAGAGAGAGAGAGAGAGACATGCTAGATCACACATCCTTTAAAATTCACCTACGAGTGATAATTCACAATTTAATTCCATTTAACAGATATTCACTGAGTGCCCACAGGGATAACAGAAATGAATGAAGCTGTATCTCTGCATTCTGAGAGCTCATAGACCAGTAAGAGAGACAGGCACCATCACAGATGACATGATCCAAGCAGATGCTGACCATGGAGAACCCACAGAGAACATCAACAATGTGTTGCAGGAAAAAGGACAGAATCAACCCTCATGTGAGCTTCAGGAAAGGCTTCTGGGTTGGGGAAGGAGCACAGGAATTTGATGTGACTTGGGAGAAAGGACTTGGAAAATGAACGTAAGAGAAGGATATTTAAGGCACAGAGATGAGTTTGAACAAAGCCTCAGAAGTGGGTAAATGCAGGACATACCCAGGGAATCATGAGAAGGCTGGCTTTGCTGCACATAGAAAGCAGGTCACAAGGGGGGGACATTGAGGATAAGCACTAGGGAGAGTCCTGTAAGCACAAAAGAGTCCCTCTATCCTGAAAAATTCTGAATGCCTTGGTGCACCATATTCTCCCTTCTCTAGACATCCAGGAAGGTCAATAGGGTGAGCTTCCAGAGCACCAGGAAACCTTCCCAGCTGTCTCCTCTATCTGCTGGTGGGCTGGATTCTCCAAATATGAGGGCGGCAGCAGTAATGACCAGTGGGTCCTCAGAGCTAGTCCCAGGTGGCAATGGCCACATCTGAAGTCCAGCAGGAGAATGAACAAAAAAAATTACTTTGGTCTCAAACAGGTTATGCACAGATAACATGTGTCCAATCAGGTGATGGGTAGGTAGGTAGCAAACAGATAATGCATATGAACAAATTTTGAAAAGTGAGGCACTGTATGAATGTAACTGGTTAACTGAATGAATCCGCCTCAACAGAGTACAAACAAAAAGCACTAAATTCTTTGTCACAGAGGCCCCTTCCAGCCCATTCTATGAAGCAATTCCTCCCTGCTCCTGAATGAGTACCCAATACGTCTCATAACATTTTTTGTGAACGCTCAGGTTAAAAGCAAATAATCTCTTTGGAGCGGGACATTGAAAAGTCCAGTTCTATGTAATATTGAAATTCTAAAATCTCCTCCAATGTACTACTGGTCAGGCCCACCACTGGACCAGTCTCAGAAGCCCAAGGGGAGAAGCCGGCAACCTCACTGTTTCCTTTTGCTCCCTCCTCCCCAGCTCTGCAGTTCTGAATGGGGGCCCTATGAGTGAGTGCAGGTGGGAGAATGGGGAAGAAGGGGGCAGGCAAGATCCTCCTGGAATGAGGAGCACTGATGCTCTCAGAATACAAGGAATGTCCAAAGCTCACCCTTTCCTTCATGAGGGGTTGGATAGGAACCCTAACCTTGCATTCTCTTGCAAGAGCAATGCTTCCTATAGCCTGTTGCACTCCCTCATTCTCTGTCATCTTGCAATCTACCCCTCTCTTTGGGTCCCCTCATCCTCTCACCTCTCCAGCAGGTCCCCTTGGACAGCTAGACTCCATGCAGACCTCATCCTTGAAACTTCCTTTGCTCTATTAGAAACACACACCCTAGACTAGTTACACCCTGGAAGGACAGGCAATTTCCCCAGCCTCATTCTTCCCTCTTTGCTGCCTCCACCCAAGCTGACCAACGGAGTCCAGACCCTGTATCCAGCAAAGGCCAGAGAATACATGTCAAGCTTCCTGGGCCTCTACCTCTCTTCCCACAGGGCCTGTGGGGGAAACAACTCACTAGATGTTCACAACTTTCCCCAGATGGATCCTTATAGTGACCTCCTCTTTCCCTCCTTTTTTTCTTTATACACTGGAGGTGGGTGATGAGCCAATGTGGCAGAATAGTTTGGGGTCACTTATTTTTAAGGTGCTTTGTAGATGGACTAGCATATTTCTTTAAAGTGTGAGGGTACTTGGCACATATCTTTCTTAGCCATCAGAAAAATTCTAAATATTTAACATCCCAGAACATGCCTTTAAATCACAGATTTATAGAGGTTCAAAAGCCCTTAGAGATCAAACAATGCTACCCCTTCATTTTAAATATTAGAAAACTAAGATCCTCTCCCACATTTCACCTTATACTTCTCTTATGTCCCCCATGGAGCCTACTAAAGGCTAAAAAAAGACTGAACAAGACTTGCAGGAAATGGTTCCTCCCTAGCTTTTCAGATAGTGTCTCTCTTTGTAAGACTTAAACAGTCCTCCTTCTCCCAAGATAAAGGGCCTTTGAACAGACAGGGCTACAAGGAATCTGGGAGATTCAAGCCCATGTATTAATCAGGCAGGTTTGTTTTTGCTGTGGTAACAAATAAACCCTGAAAATATCAGTGGATTAAGATAATGCAAGTGTATTTTTCGTTCATTCTGTCTTAGTCTGCTTACACTACCATAACAAAATACCATAACACAATAACAAATGGGTGGCTTAAACATCAGAAATTTATTTTTTCACTGTTTTTGATGCTAGAAGTCCTAGATCAAGGCCCCAGCAGGGCCAGTTTCTGATGAGGTCTCTCTTCCTGGCTTACAGATGGCCACCTTCTTGCTATGTCTTCACAGGGCCCTTACTCAGGGTGTGCGCTTGGGGGAGTGGGTGGAGAGAGACAAAAAGCTCTCCAGTGCCTGTTTTTACTAATCCTGTCAGGTAAGGGCACTAACCTTATGGCCTTATTTCACCTTAACTATCTCCACATAGACCCTGTCTCCAAAAACAGTAGTCAGTAGCTGGAGATCAGGGCTTCAACACATGAATATAGAAGACATAACTAAGTCTACAGCATACTCCAAGTTCTATGTGGGCTCATAGATCTCCTAGGCAACTTTCTTCCAAGCAGCAATTCAGGGATCCAAGCTGCTCTTCTCTTATGGTTCCACTTTATTGTGGTCTTATGGTCTTGAGGTTATCCTTCAAGGTTGTCAAGGATTCAGAGATGGTGCTGAAAAAGAAACTTGGTAATGACCATCATGGTTCATATTACTTCTGTACACATTTCATTGGCCAGAACAGGTCACATGGTGGACCTAAATCAAGGGAGGCTGGGAAAAGCAGAGAAGCTCACAGAAGCCCCAAGGACCAAGTCTGTGCCGTTTTCTAAGCACCCATTTCATTCTGTGAACAAAGGGATTTCTTCTCTTTGCTCCAGTATTGAAATCTACCCTTTCCTTGCCTAAATGCTCACTTCTCCCCACACTGTGATTTGATAAAGAAGAGGAATTTTATACTCTTAGTTATGGACAGCATGGCATTGAGTTTAAGAGCACAGACTCTGGAGTCAGAATGTCAGGATTTGAATCACAGTTTTCCCACTTCTTCGCTCTCATCTGTAACATAGGGAGAGTAATAGTACCTGCCTCAAAGAGTCGTTGCAAAGCTTCAATAAGAAAATATACCTAAAGGACTTAGGACTGGCTCTTGAAAATCCCTATAACAGTGTTCACTGGTGATATCTTTGGTATTATTGTCCTCCATACAAACCCTTTGTCCCATTAATTCCAGTTGCTCTTGGCTATAGAAAATTCCCTATTAGCAGACAGCACCTCACGGAAAGATAGCAGAGCACTGTAACCCATTGCTTTGGGGAAGAGGATGGCCCCGTTGCCTACTCAGCTTCCAGGTCATTTTTTCAAATCACTTTTCTAAGACCCAGCCTGATCATCACAAAGTCTTCACAGTTATATTCTAGGCTCCATGCTTCCCTGGCTCAATGCCCTCACACCAGCTTTCAGTGGCCTGCAGCTCTCTGAAGAAGGAATTATGTCCTAAGGTGAAAAGTTATTTAGTTTCCCTGCCTGACATTCTAGATTCTGGCCTTCCAGAAACAGAGAGGCTGTTGTCAGCATGCCAGGACATGACAAATGATGTGAGGGGGCTGTTAAGATACAGCCATCTATCCTCTGTCAGAGGCCAGGACCACAAGGCAATGGAAAATGAACAGGGAAATTGTTAATTGTGTAGCTCTAAAGCCTGCCCAGAGAAACTTCAGAGGGGAGCATGTTTTTCTCTCACCTGGAGAGGCAGAACACTGAAAGCCTTTAGGAGGCATGCTGCCTAGCAAGCGGACAGGCAGTGCTAGGGGCAGGAAACTACCCCAGAGATAGTACAGGGAGCAAGAGGAGGAATACTGCAGACAATCACTGAAAAAGCCAGTAATATACTTGGAGAGAGAACTATGGTTCTGTTTCCATCACACACTTATGGGACCCTATATAAGCCCCTTAACACCTGGAGTTGCCAGTAGATGTAAAATGAAGAAAAGAGTGTCTGACTTTCCTAAAGGCAGAGGGCTATTCTTGAGGACCTTCCAGCATTTAAGACTAAGCAATTCTTGAAGCATTTGATGACCTTTCTTTTCTCCAATTCTCTTTGCCTTTGACATAGAGTTGTTTATTTGATAAATGTGAAAAGTGGGATTTCATAGTCCTGGATTTAGTCTCATTCACAAACAGTTATAAGTGAAATCGAGGCTAAATACATGTATAACCAAATTTCCTTGTGCAAACCACCTGCTGTTTCTGGAGCGGGCTCTACCGTCACACATGAACATCTGCCATGCAGTGAGGTACCAGTGCATGGGCTGGATCTTTCTAAAGGGAAAGACCTAACACATGTCATGTAGCCTTGATGCTTTCATTCTCTCTGGACCACAACAGAGATGCCCTTGAAAGGATTAGCAGTTTGACTCTGACGTGAAGCCTACAGAATCCACATCAAAACAACAGTGCAAGATTTCTGCTTCTGCCCAAGAAGGAATAAGAGGAAACTTTATTCTCTTACCTAAAACAAAACAAAACAACAAGACAAAGAGCACAGATGAAGGAATAGCTTTCAAGGCACAGTGCATGAGGCAATGAAGGTTGGTGATCTCTGAGAGTGGAGGAGCAAATGAGAAGAGTTTTATGATTGCCCTGGTCCACTGCCTTGAGAGAGTCTCTAGGCCATGACTCAAGGATAGGGAACTTAGGCATGGCCCAGCAGATACCTCTAGGTACAGCAGGTGGAGCTGAAAGTCCAGGGAGACCTAGATTTTACCATTACAAGGATTTTTTTCCATACTTGAAGTGGTATAATATACTTGAAGGTATGCTATAATAACTAAAAAGTGTTCTGTAAACCTTAAAGAAACCACTAAAATAACTCAACAAAGAGTTATAGCTGTAAGTCAAAAAAGGAGATAAAACAGAATAATTTTAAAATACTAAACGATCCAAAATAAGGTGAGAAAAGAAGAAATGGAGACATAAAAATAGATAGAACAAATAGAAAACAAAAGGCAAGATGATAGATTTAAACTTAACCATATCAATAATCATAATCAATAAGGTAAATTATCTAAATACTCCTTTTAAGGACACAGATTACCAAAACTGACAAAGACAGTACAAAAAAGAGAAAACTACAGACAAATGTCTCCCATGAACTTAGAAACAAAGATCCTCAACAAAACATGAGCAAATCAAATCCAATGATGTGTAAAAATAATTATGTAGCATGGCCAAGTGGGATTTAGTCCAGGTATGCAAGGCTGACTCAACATTCAAAAACTCAAGCAATGTAACCCATAACACTAACATGCTAAAGAAGAAAAACCATATGATAATATCAAATGATGCAGAAAAGGCATTTGACAAAATCCAATAACCATTCGTCGCAACTCTCAGCAAGTTAGACATTAAAGAGAATTCAACTTGATAAAGAATACCTACAAAAACCCCACAGCTAACATCATGCTTAATGGTGAAAGATGAATGTCAGAAAAGGAGAACAAATTAGTGGTTGCCAGGCATTAAAGATGAGGGTGGAGTGGAGAGGGAGGGGCAAGACAAAGGATCTTTGTGTTAGTGGCACTATTCTACATCTTGATTTCAATAGCAAATACGTGAAACTATACATTTGACCAAATTGGGCTGAACTATAAACACACACACAAATAAGCCCAAGTAAAACTTGGGAAATCTGAACAAATTTGATGGATTGTAGTGATGTCAACATCCTGGTTGTCATATTGTAATGTGGTTTTGCAAGATGATACTGAGGGAAATTGAACAAGTGGAACACAAGATTTCTCTATTATCTCTTACAACTACGTATGATCTATCACAAAATAAAAGTTCTTTTAAAGGCAGAGATTGTCAGATTGGATTAAAAATACATAAGATCAAAATTTGCTACCTATAAGAAACATATTTTAAATATAAAGACATAAAGGGCTTAAATGTAGAAGAATGAAAATACACACAAATGAAAATTCAAAATCCAAAGTGCTCCAAAATCTGAAATTTTTGAGTGCTAACATGACACTAAAAGGAAATGTTCATTGGAGCTTTTCAGATTTTGAATTTTTGGATTAGGAATACTCAACTTACATGTATACACAAATATATGTATATACATATATATACACACATTACATATGTATATATTATGCTCATATTAAAATGAAACTGGAATGGCTATATTAATATGAGAAAAAGTAGATTTCAGAGCAAAGAATATTATCAAGGATAAAGGAGGTGATGTCACAATGATAAAAGGGTCAATTCACCAGAGTCACATAACAATTTTAAATGTTGATGCAATTTATAACAGAGCTTCAAAATTATTTTGTGCAAATAATTTTGCACCTGAAGCAAAAACTGATAGAACTTCAAGAGGAAATAGACAGATCCCCAATTATAGTCAGATAGATTAACATTCATCTCCCAATAACTGACAGAACAAGTACAAAGAAAATCAGGAAAATGAGGAATCCAATACTAGAACAACACGGTCATAGGCACCTGTAAAGACAAACTTTTATAAGAGCTTTACTTGTATGAATAAAAACTGGAAATGTCCCTCAACTTGTAAACAGATAAACAAATGTTGGTTATAACCATACAATGGAATATTACTCCGCAACAAAGAGAATGAACTTCTTATACACATAAAACATGGATAAATATCAAAATAACTATGCCCATGGAAAAGGCCAGTCAAAACAGTTTCTACTGTTAGATTCCATTTATAGAAAATACTCAAAAATGCAAACGAATCTATAGCAACAGCAGATCACTGGGCTGCCTGGGGATGAGGAGCAGTGAGTGGCAGGAGGGAGGGAATTACAAACGGACTCCAAGAGCCCTTTGTGGGTGGCAGATTGTTCATTATCTTGATGGTTGTGACCGTCTCATGGGTGTATGTATTAGTCAAGCCTGATCATACTGTGTAATTTAAGTATGTGAAGTTTATTGTATGTCAGTAAAGCTGTTAAACATATAAATAGAGATGCATACACAGTATGACCAGCACTCATCAAGGGGCATCAACCATGGTCTCCAGCTGATCTCTTCTGCCCTAGCCAGACCTGTGTCTTCACTGTTTCAGACATCTTGAGCCTCTCCTTCCTTCTGTCTGCTGCTTAAACTCTATTTGTCCTTCAAAACTCAAAATGAGTCCAGCTTCCTGCAGAAAATCTTTCATGACCTCTCAGTCCTGACTCTCTCTGCACATACAGACTACAACAGTCTGATGTGAGAGTGTCTTCATCACCCAAACGGAAACTGAGCTCCCTGAGACCAGGATTCCTGACATCGGGATCCCTCCTCTACCTGCATAAGCCTGAGCCCAAGAAGTTTCAATCAATACCTGTTGATTGTGTTGTTGATGAATCTCCCACTGAGAGATCTCCCTCTGTGATAACTCTTTGATAACACAGCATTAATTTAAAAAAAAAAAAAAAAAAAAGAACATCTCATGCACCTTTGGCCTTTGCCTCTGCCAGGGACCTCTGTATTTCTAATCAGAGGTTGCCTTAGGAAAGGTCCTGTGTGCTTGCTCATGTAAGAGTTCCCTGCAGCTGGCTTCAGTGCAGAGCTCTCTGCAGCAAACCAGAGACTAAGGACTGCTTCAGTCTCCTCTACGCTTCCCATACCCCATGGGTTCAGCAGCCTTTGCAGAGAAACCATGCAGTGCCCTGTTGTTCCCACAGCCTCAGAACATAGGACGACATCTGGTGTCAACTAACTCCTTGCCCGCATGAGTAAACCAAGGCCAGGGAGGTCATGTGGCCAGTTCTGGGTCATTCACTGAACCTTGCTTTCTTCATTTGTGCTTTCTTTGTGTTAGGCTTTATCAAGAGAAGAGATCATAAGATAAACAGTGGATAGCCCTCAACCCCCTGCCCGTTCACTAGGCAGAGAAGAGCCATCACAAGTTCTCCATGCTCTTCTACAGATGTGTCATGATCAAATTATCCATTGTTTGGTTAAAAATCATTTCTTCTGCACCTCACACTCCAATCAACTGTTTAAAAAAAAAAAAAGTCAATAGGCTGACAGCCTTAGAAGTGGATAAAGATATTAGAAGGAGGCCTGCTGTTTGCAACGAGCATCAGACAAATAATGATCAATAGTTTCTATCTCCTAATGACTGGATGGTGATTGCGTAGCCTCCAGATAAGAACTTCATTGACAACCCCAGTGCTGTGTCTAGGACAAAAGGGAAGCCAATTTTTGCGAGGCCTGAACAGAAGTGTACCCTTCAGAAACACCTGGATCCCAGTCACTATGATGCTAGGAATTGAATTGAGCTGGATTCTTCTCTCTATACCTTGTGACTGCCTAGTGTGTGTCTCTCTGCACCTTGTAATCACCAAGTTCTTCTCCCCAGTTGGCCCCACCCTCCCTCCCTGCAGCTGCCACTCAGGCCAGGAATTACCTCGAGTACATCTGACAGTAGAAAAAGGGGCCATGGTCCATGAAGACTATTTGCTCTCCTTCATGGCCTCCCTGGGGATCTGTACTGAGGTCCCTAACACCATTCATGACTCTTTCATACTCTGCAGTGAGGACTGAGTCTCCTTCCCCAGATGTCCATTGAATCTCTCCCTCCACAATAATCTTCTTTCTTCCTTAACAACACACTTCCCTGGCACATCAGCCAGGATGCAGAACCTACTCATTCCCCACCACCTTCTATTCATTCCTTGCTTCTTCTTTGCCTTTGCTGAACTGGCTATCTCCAGTTCACATTCTCTTTCCCTAGAAAATCACATCAGTCATTTTCATAAATTTTCACTTACAAGCTCTACCAGATAGCCTCATGGTTCACTCCACCTCATTTTAATGACACCTTCCCCTGTGCTCTTTCCTGTTTCCTGACACAAACTGCTGGTTGTCTTCTTTCTCCAGGACCACACTGTTAGGAGGTTGGTGATGTACCTTGTAAGATGAATTCTCAAATTAATTACCCAATGAGAGAAAGCAGCTGTCTCCCAGACTCGAGGCACACAATGGGCATTTGGCATGATTGTGAGTAAATGCATAGAGCATAAACATTCATATGTATGCCACGTGGCTCAGCAAAGCACTTTCCAGAGCATGCAAAATGGAGTACTAATTTTCCAGGATGCTAATGGGTATTACAGTCTTCTTTTCAACAAGTTCCATGACCAAATATGGATGATAAATGTTAAAGAAGAAAGTTAAAAAAAGATTGTTTTACTGCTGGAAGTCTCACAGCCTTCCATATGATCCGATATAAAGTTTTCTCCAAGAAGGAGGCACACTATATGGTACTTCTAAATTATATGGTCATAGAGTACTTTATTCACAGACTATCTCAGAAGGTTACAACCTTCCATGAAGCACTATTTGGGAAACATTTTCCTGAAATATTCAGTACAAAGCTGGGTCTCTGGGATGAGAACCTCTCCTATGCTTCTCAGTTTAGCAAATCACAATCCCATCACTGTTTTTCTTTGCCTAGCCCTCACATAGCCTCAATGCACCATGTCAATCTGTGCAAACACACACACACACACACACACACACACACACACACAAAGAGTCAAACTACTCACAAGCATTGAAATCAAAATTATCCCACAATGAAATTACAGCATAAAACACCTTTCAGCAATAAGCCAAAAGGCAGAAAACAGAATTATATCTAAAAATCAAACTGCTCTCCTGCCACCTGTTCAGCAATCAATTCACCATGTAACCCATCTACAGAAGTGGTTTGCAAGTAACCCTTCCCAGGTTGCAACAGGGGCAAAGGAAGGCTTGAAGAATTACACTGAATTCTTTGATACCATGAGACCAGCCATACAGCCAAATGAATCCTTTCCACAGCTGAGGGAAGCTGGAGCAAGGTACCAAACTGGACCCTCGTCTCTGACACTTTCGAATTTATAGAATTGCCCATACCTTTGCATAAACACTCTATGCCAAATGGCTAAAACACACACACACACACACACACACACACATCTGAGTTATAGAAGACGGTTCTGAAAAAAATAGAAGAATTTAGCACAAAGAAGAGAAAACTCAAAAGTACAACTGAACATCTTCCCATGTCTGAGCAGTTCTCATTTCAGAATATCATTTGTGTCATTACAGTGGCAGCTACAAGGAGGCAAAATTGGACTTCATCATTAAAAAAAACCCCTAACTTTGTGCTGAGCAAGGGTCATATTACCCTTTAGGACCTAAAAATATTGCCCTGGTTTTGAAAAATCTAATTGCTTTCCTAAGGAGCACTAATGTTATGCTCTTGTAGGAAGGGATGCTGGATTTTTACATATTTGAGCTTTTTCTAAAACTAAGCATACGTGTGTTGACTATGCCCTTTGTGCTCCACCAAGAGAGAAAAATATACTGGAGAAGGTTTTTGCACACATGAACCATACTGAAAGGCATCCTTTGCATCAAACTTGCCATGAAAAATTTCCTGGACTGAGAGATAAGCAAGGTCCAACTTAGTGATGTGTGTCGGGATTCTGCTATTCTGTGAGAGATGGAGATAAATTCTCCCATAGCTCTAACTTGAGAATATGTGCTAGCAACTTCTGCAAGTTAAAAAGTATCTTCTTCCCTACTGGAATGTTACCTTTGCTTAATGGAAATAAGAAACGTTCTATCAAAATAGCTCTGTAAATTTACACTTTGACACTAACACCCTGGCTCCAAACAGGTAGCAATAATACATCCAAAACAAAACAAAAAAATGTAGCCAGGCTTAGAAATAAGTGAATGTCTTAATGGATCAGAAACAGAACTGCAAGTCTAAAACATAAACTACTCTGAAATCATAGACTGCTGAACACCTTGACCCAAACCAAGGTATTCAATTCCTCTGGGATAACAGGGGACTAGAAATAGGAGCTAAGGAAGGGATTTTCCACTCTCCCCTCTCCAAACACACATATTACTTGAGAAAGGAGGCAGAAAAGACATGCCCTGAAGGGCTCCCAGGGGCTCTGACCTATAACAGATTACACGTCTGGAGAGGCACAGAAATATGAATCCAGCCCCAAGATCAGGAACCAACTAAGGTATGCACTAGCTCAGAGACAGGGTCAATAATTTCCCTGATTATACAATTGGGCAGGAAACCAAAATCACTATTACAGGATCTATTCAGAATTAAGGATTATGTGATGTCAACTGCATAACCACTCAGATATGAGTAAACATTCACAAGAGAAAAGAGCAAAAAAGAAAGTAACACATAACTAATAAAATCTCCCCTGAAAATGAAGCCATAATCAGAATTACAAACCATGTGAAGAAATATAAGATTAAGAATGAAAGCAAATAAAATGAGCAATTGAAACAGAAATCAATCCAGATCCCTTTATAGAAGTGTGGAAGTATGTCTAGGTGGATTAATGAAAGAATAACATCCTTTACATGAGCAAAAATCTATGTGGAAGAGACAAAAATGACACACAAAAATGTTATGAAAACGAACCAGTGAGAAATCTTAGAAATGGAAATTACAGTAACAGATATAAAAGACTTTCTAAATCAATAATGGGATAAACTCTAGCCTGAAAACAGAGGTGGAAGCAAATTAGTAAAACAAAGGATAGTATCGAAAAGTTCACCCAGAGGCTGTGCAGAGAGAAAAACATAATATGAAAGACCTGCTAAGAAAGAAGGAGGGATAGACTGAGGTGCACAGCATAGCTTGAATAAGAATTCCAGAGGAAGAGAATGGAAGGAATGTCATGGAAATAATATCTGGAGAAGGATTTTCCAGAATTTGAGAATCTTGAGAACAATGTGCCCTCCACTTATATTCAGACGGAGAAAACAAAAATAATCTGCACCTAGATATATTATAGTGAAACTACACAACATTAAAGGTCATGAGAAAAATCTTAAAATCTACCTTAAAAAGAGGGCTATCAAATTTAGATTGAAAGCAACCTTCCCACAGTCAACATTAGATGCCAGAAGAGAAGGAAGTAACATACTCAAAATGCTGAAGGAGAAAATACTTTCCAGTGTTTACAGCCAGCAAAACTATTATTCTAGAGAAAAGGCAAAAATAAAGTCACTTTTCAGACATATAAAATTGAAAACGGATGGATGATAAGATATATAAGAAGCATTCAGGAGGTGGACACAGAAAAAAGTTGGTAAGATATAGCATTAAAAATACATATATATATATATATGTTATTATAAAAATACATATATATATGTTATTATAAAAATACTGCCCCATTACCCTGCAATGAACTTTATCGATAATACAATATTCCCTTTATGCATAATTTCAAAAATATCAATGTAGAGCAAACTCTCAGGGCTCAAAGAGGGAGGAATTTCTCAGCAGGAAAGGAGCAGCATGAGTTGACAATGCTTTGGCAAGGAGATAGCTCCTGGGCTCAGGAGGTTAGTTACAAACAACATGATTGAGAAAACAAGTGAACTGATCCTATGAGAGCCAGGTTCCTCACCAGCGAGAATGGAAGTCAAATATGGAAAGAAGGAGGCTATAGAATAAACCATATAATGTTAGACTATGTTTAGGGATATTGATCTGCACTGTGACTTCTAATAGTCAGATAAATATGCATGTACATAGATGTAGATATTCTAGCTCTGTCTGCTGCAACGGCCTAGAAGCCAGACAAAACAGGAGCGATTAATGCATTCAGCACCAGATATTGATTCCTGAAAGGAGTCAGGCATTCGTGGAGAAATGGCTGACTGGCTGACTGCAGGGCTGGAGCTGGAAACATACAAGCCCTGGCCATCTTGTGCTGCAATGACAGAAGCATGGCCAAAAGACACAGAATCCATCTTGACAAGGGTCCTATAGCCAAGTTGGGGGCAATGTGAGCATCAAAATAAATGATGATGGTAAGAGTTATAGCCCACTAGGTAACACAGGAACCCATGAGTCCATACTGAAATACATACACATATCGTACATACATAGGAGTTCTACCTTACAGTAGAATGCCAACTCATCAATGTAGAGAAAGATGGAATCAGAAAATTGCCATTTGACAACCATCATAGTAATAACTGATTCAGGCAAGAATCATTCATCCCTGCTAATGCTGGAGGGTGAGTGTTGATAAGAAGAGTCTACATACTTATTCTCAAAGTATCTCTTCTTAAAAATACTCACTAATTAACTTTACAGTGGATGAACCTGGCAGTCACCACCTTAACTAAGTGACTAAAGTTAACTTTTTTATTTTAACCAGGAATGGGAAAACCCACATCATATCTCTTCCAAAATGATGCACTAAGAAGAACGCAGCATCACTTCTGTGACATTCCTGCCAGAAATGTGTGACCTGAACCTATTGACAAGGAAACATTAGAAAAATCCCAAACAATGGGATGGTCTCCCAAGTAACAGGCCCATGCTTAAAAATCATGATGGTCATAAAAGACCTGGAAAACTGTGGAACTGCTACAGGTTGAAAGAGGCTAAAAAGACAAGACAACTAAATGTAATGTGTGACCTTCGATTGGTTCCTGCACCTATAAAGAGCATGGCTGGCACAGGCAGGATCTGTGAGTGGGATCTGTGGAAGTATGTGTGTGGCGGGAGTGTGATAACCAATGCTAATTTCCTGATCAGTGAGGTGTACTGTGGCTTTTTTTTTTTTTTTTTTTTTTGAGATAGAATCTCACCTGTCACCCAGGCTGGAGTGCAGTGGTGCCATCTCGGCTCACCGCAAGCTCCACCTCCTGGGTTCACGCCATTCTCCTGACTCAGCCTCCCAAGTAGCTGGGACTACAGGTGCCCACCACCACGCCCAGCTAATTTTTTTTTTTTTTTTGTATTTTTAGTAGAGATGGGGTTTCACCGTGTTAGCCAGGATGGTCTCGATCTCCTGACCTCATGATCTGCCCACCTCGGCCTCCCAAAGTGCTGGGATTACAAGCGTGAGCCACTGTGCCAAGCCTGTACCATGGCTTTGTAGGGTAATGTCTTTGTTTTTAGGAAACACAAACTAAAGTACTTAGGGACAATGGGGTATTGTTGTGTATTTAGTCGCAAATGAACTGGAAAAAAAAGAAAATGTGTGAGTGTGTGTGTTTACATATATTTATATACAGAAAGAGAGAAGACACAGAGGATAGTAAGGCAAAAGTGGCAGTGTGTTTTGGGGAAAAAAGGTGAAAAGCATACAGGTCACCTCAATAGAAGAGAAAACTCTTGGAAGGAAGTTGAATCTAATCAACTGATCTGTTGACAAATTGCTGACTTGTATTTGGCAAATTGACCTTCAGCCAAGTCATGTGGCTGTGTAGAGAAAGAACCTGATACAGAAAGCTGGATACCCACGTCGCCCCACAAAGGGCGTGAGGTAAATGGGTGTGTTTTCTTCATGCCAGGCTTGGTCTGCACAGGGTGTCCCCTCAATGCCTCTCATCAAAGCCCGGTTAGAGCCAATGCTCCCCTTCTATAACAAGCTTTTAGTAATGCCCCTCTCCTATCCTCATATGAAAGTCACAGATAATATATCCTAGCCATATAATTTTTTAAATACAAATATAATGTCCTAACTATAAGTTAAAGGAGAGATGAAAGGAAATAATATGTAATATTAAAAAAATCTCAATATGTAAATGAGAATGATTACACTAGCAAACAATAAAATCATCAGATGTTTACACCTGTATTTGGAAGAATCACCATGAATGAGGCATCTAAAACTGCAAGCTGACTCAAGTGTCTTATATTTATGATTCAATTATCACGAGCACTGTTTCCATCAGAAAGCTGATTTTACAAAATGGTGAACAACACTTGGTAAAGTTCTGGGCAAAACATAGTACAAGTTTACCTCATTTAACAACATAATTGCATTCTTAGGCAAAAGAAGCATCAAAAATGTGCAAAAATGAACATGAATATAATGCCCTAAATATAATATCATGGAGAAATACACAGAAAAGAATAAAATAACACACTTTTCAATCTGTAAATGGTCAAGAGGATGACTAACCTAGAAGACACAATGAAGTGGCCAGATGCTCTGTGTGTCTTTACACAGACTCACTAGGAATGAGATAGCTATAAACGCATAATGTTACGGGTATATTGTAGGACAGCTCCGATACCAGGTGAGGCATTGCCATTGGTGATCATGATTTTCCATGATCAGAAAGATGAACACAATTCTTGGTCAATTCCTGAACATAATGAAACACAATCTTCTCTCAATTTACACAGTAGTTACTTCCTCTGGGAAAGTCAGTGCAAACTGCAATTGCACACAAAATGCTTTGTGCTACATGCAGAACAGTTAGAAGCTAGGCTCTGCCAGTCAAAAGATTTTTCAACTACATCAATGTCCATTGAAACATTTGAGATTCCTGTAGGATTAGAGACAATTCTCCAGGCACAGGACCCATCCCTATCCCTCCTCCCCATATCATTGTGTCAACCAAAGGCCTCTCTCACACATTTCCAAATTCCCCTACAGATGGAACTTCTCCAGGCATCAAGTGGACTCTGCAATCAACCAGTTGGGTGGGGAACAGAATAATGTATATGGCTGATGAACAGCATTCTATCCCTGTCCCAGCAGACATCAATCCTAAAGAAAGTTGAGCATTTCAGCTCAGAGCACTTGCTTTAAGCTCTTCTACAATGATGTACCCACCACAGGCTACTGATACATCTCTATAAATGAATGAGCAGGTCACTTTTTTGATTTGCTGTAACAAACTGATGTTTTCTGGAAAGAGGTCAGAAAGTTCAAGAAATGGGAAGTATAAACAAGAAAGAAAACATGCCCTCAGATGCGCAGTTAGAAATGGTCAGGCTTCACAGCTGGGGAACTGAGCCAGTTTCAAAGGCCTCCTTGCTGTAGCTGCTGTGGTCATTTCTCTGCTGTTTGGCAACTCCAACTTTCTCAGGTCTGATGGTCAGTGACAGTTCTGCTGGCTTGCTGGACAGGCAGTCCCCAAACCTCTCTGGTTCAGCTTCCTCCTCAAGTGTGGTCATGAATAACTTAAAAACCTTACAAGATTATCCTCAAAACAGGAGGGCAGGGGGAGGAATCTTTCTAGAACCTGCTCTGACTTGGTGGGATGGGCATCACTGAGCACCACGAGGGGCCATTCAGGATCAAGACCTTGGAGTGACAGAGTCCCCACAAGTAGAATCACAGATTTTTCCATCTCTGTCTGTTCAAATTGATGTAAAATTCTGAGTGCTTACTGACATGTTATAGGTGTTCAAACATTCATACCTATAATTGTTATTATTTCTATTACTTTCTGTCCATGGAATAATGAGAAAATCAACAGCCCCTCAACTATTTCCTGGGCCTCCAAAATCAGTATTTATAAGATGAACCTGGGTCTGTGAATCTGTGAAGGTTACTTTCACCTGATAAACATTTTACTGTCAATCTTTCTGTGTCTTTTACTGAATTTTTTTAAATGCAACAAATCCACAACAATCTCAGCAATTAAGTGCACCAAATAGAAGTAATTTCCCAAATATAGAGCCAAACAGATGATATGCATGAATAGAAGATCACAAACTGGATACCCTCAAGGGACCCATTTCCCAGTGGGAGAGGGAGAGACTCTCCTCTTTCTTTTCCAGAAAACTTGAATTCATCAAAAACACAGCCCAAGAAACTGGCCTCCTCCTTCCTATTTTCCCAGTTGGCTTCTATGCTCTGGGAGAGCCTAAAGACCAGTTGGTAAGGCCACTGAGCAAAGTCTCTTTTGCCTGATGCCCAAGTCTAGCTTAACCTCAGCTTTGGTTCAGGCGAGACCTCTGCCCTTCATACCAGAAGAAATGTTTCTATGAATCAATAATTCTTCTAAATCTCAGTTGGCTAAGTGAGTCCCTCTTTCTTCGTGTCTCCCTGCCTATTAGTATCACTGCTAGGAACAATTTTGGATGGAGTTAAGGCCTTTTCCAGATTCCTCAAAGGGCTGGATCACATAGCATTGGGTAAATGAATCTATTGTTTATATTTCAAAAAGGAATGTTTATTTGCAGCAAATGCATCTTCTTCTGGGCCAGAGCCCCAGAAACTGTAGAATACATTCAAAAGACATTCAATAAAGATATGCCTGAGTCTTACAACACTGATGCAAAACAGATGGACCCCTGTTCTCTCCATTCCTGGATCCTGGTATTCAACATAAACATGAATATTCCTTTTCTTTCTTTGTGCTGATTTCTGCTCACAGCTAGACTAGTTAGGCTCAGCCTGAGAATGAATATAGGGCTGAAGACTCAATTATGGCAAGATCCAGGAGGAGGTCACCTCTCCAGACTGACAGCCCCTCTCACCCAGCCTCACGTGCATCGAACAACTGGTGCTGCTTTCTTCTCACTCATGTCGTGTGTGTGGAGTCTGTGTTTTGGGGCGGGGGGGGCTGTGAGGTGTGTGTTGTCTCCTCAGTTTTGATGGAAGAGATGTTTTATAAAACTGTCTTTCCTACCCCCCATAGCTCTCAAAACAAGTAAAGACACACATTAGCAACCTAAATCATGTTGAACAAAGAAATGAATGAAATAAAGTACTTCTGGCTCTGTTCCCAACTATGGAAAAATAATTCCAAGCATATGTCTTCCCAGCAGACTTGCTGAAACCTCTCCATGAGATTCTGATGCTCGCTGCTGAGCCCACAGACCCTCATGCCTCTCTCTCTGTGCTGAACAGGAAGAAATCAGGTATCCTTGACAATCTCCAGTTCCAGGAAACAAGGGGTGCAGTCTCCACAGATGTGCTAACTGACCCTCAGAGAAGGAGGAGAAATTATTGAAATAAATGCTAATTTTGAAAAGCATCCCATACATGCAAAAATGTTCTCATGCTACCCAGCATGCTTCTGGGATGCAGCAGGTGGCATATGCTATAATTACTGCAGACCATACATGTACACACACGTGCATAATACCAGGGCAAATGAAGAGTGTTGACCCAAGTGCCACACCAGCCTAAAATCTTGGAGTCACAAAAAGACTGGGAGAGGATATGCTCACTCAACCAAGAAGTATATTTGTGTGGCTGCCCCACCAGTCTACCAACCACACATGATACATGTGAATTTCATTGGTGAACACAGATTAGACTCAGCTGTGACCATACTCCATAACACAGTGCCAGATTCACTGTTGGACAATGATCTCTAGTCCTCAAAAATCAAGCATTCCATTGACATAGAGTAGTCCAGGTGTGAGGCAAAGCAAGACATTTGCAATAGGCCCTACTGACATTATAAGCTGCCTTAGTCAGATAACAATGAGCTTGTCAAGCCAAGTCTACTATTGAGTTTATGCCACTGACTGATTAGAAGTGAGATTTAGAGAGTGATAGTTAAGGGTGGATATGAAGTACAATGGACAGTCTGAGACTTTTGCATCTGTGAGATACAAAACTAAATGTTCAGCAGTTGAGTTAGTGTTTTTCCATAAACCAGAGTAAGTCTTCTCAGGAAACAGGCACCAAGGAGTAAATGTGTCCTGAAGCAAAATTGCAAAATCTCTAAGTATAGCCTGGGGAGAAACTAAGTGCAACAGAGAGAAACTAAGTGCAACAGATATGCAAGAAGACACCGGGAGAGCAGAAAACCTGGAACATAGTGCCTGGAATGATGTGCAAAAAAGAACAAAAGAAATGAAATGGGAGCATTCTATTAATCCAAAACTGCAACCAACCTGAAACTGTCCGGAGTTGGTCAGGCTGGAAGAATTATCATAGCTAGAACAACCTCCATGTAGAAAGGCATGCTGAGTGGGTATATAATCACTTAACATGCACGGTGTCTCTCTATGTGCACATGTGAATGGTGTTAGAAATAAATGTAATCGTGAATGTGTCTGTTGAAAATAGAAACTTCATTCTTGAGCTCTAAGAATTCTTGAGCCCTTCCACAATTAGAACCATCAAATTCCCAGAAAGATTTGAGAAACCCCCACATGGCTTCCTGTTGGCAAAGAGAGGAACAGTGGGCTGGAGCATGAGGGAAGGTCAGTGACCAGCGTTTAATAAAGTGTGAGCTGCAGTGACATTGTTAAAAGACACTTGTCTCAGCCTCCCAGCTCCTGAATGTATGTAATCATCAGAGAATTTTTCTGCATGGAAATGTTTCTTCATTGCCTCCTAATGTTGGTTCTGGATGTTTGATTCTAAATATTTGCTTCTGTTGTTTCCTGACTCCCACCACCGAAAAAAAGAAAAATGAATTCTCTTCCAAGAAAGAAACTGATGGGTCCCTCAAACAAAGAGACTCCTTGTTGATGCCACTTACGAGTCCACCAAACACACATGAATATATTTGAATTCCACATAGCAGCACAGGAGGGACTCACGCTATGACCCACCACACAGTTTTGAGTAATGCTCACTGAGTTCAGACTTGGGGGCAGGAGAAAGGGCAGATGAATGTGTTCTGAAGCAAATTCACTAACTACAACCCATAGAAACCAGATGTGTTCTGGAGGGACAAAAAGCACAAGGGAAAGAAGGAGGAAGAGCTGAGGCAGGGCTTCTGTCCTAGGGAAAATTCAGAGTAATTAGGGAGAAAAGATGGACTCACACAACAAAACAATTCAGTGCTAAGTGTCAGGTATCGACCAGGGACTTTCTACCCTGGCTGTCCATTAGAGTCATTGGAGAGCTTTGAGAAAACACAGCCACCCTGGCCCCACACCAAGATATTTTAATGCAATTGAAATTAGATGCGGTGCAGGCAACACTATTATTTCAAAGCTCTCTGGATATTTCTAATGTGCAGCCATGCTTGAGAACAATTTATTCCAACTACAGTGCCTTTAAGAGCTCAGATGAGAGGGAGATTCCTGAGGGTAGGAGCAGTCAGGCAAGACTTCCCAGAGGGACAGGTAAGGAAGAAAAAGAGAACCACGATTGTAAGGAAACAGGGAAAGAGGAGGTCCAGCGTGTGCCTGCTTGCAGTGGCTCTGGACACAAGCCCAACAGTGCATCCTTGATCTGATAGACCATAGGAAGTAAGAGGGCCCCCAAGATTGGTGCACTCCCATACACACAACATGTTTCAGTCATCAGGATGCTTTTCCATCCATGGTCTTTGATGTGAGGTAGGCAAGCAGGGAAAACATAAACATACCCACTGCGCAATGATAAAATGGAGACTCAGAGAGTTGGAGTGACTCAGTAAGAGCAGTGTTTTCAGAAAATTAGTCCAGTGATAGCATGCAGTGTGAATTACAGTGTGGGAGAGAGAATTCCAGGAGGGCCCTTAGAAGACTGATACCTTCCTATAAATGGGAGGTAATATCAGGCCAAGGTATGGCAGAAGCCTTGGGAAACTCAGCAGAGTAAGAGCCACCTTTCTGCCATGTATCCCTCTATTTATGTTTGGTGCATGGGCACCAATGTTTAACACAGTAGGTTAAAGTTGGAGCAGCTCTGTCTGCATTAAGAATTGGGGAAGCTGAAGAACAGAGAGGATGGAGTTCACAGAGTGGAGTGGGGATAGCTGAGAACTTGATCGTCCTGCAAGGAGTGGCTTCCTACGCATGGTAATTTTAGGGATGGAGGAAGCTTTTTGTCCATTCCTGATGTTTCTGTCCAAGTAGAGGGAACTCCCTTGTTGAAACGCTTTGGTTTCTGCCCATCTCCCACCACTCCTTTGATTAGGAAATTTGAGAAAAATAACTCAGGATGCTCAGCTGAACTCAGATTTCATTAATTGTGGGAACTAGCTAGTCCATGGAAAGCAGGATTTCTCCCAAAACTCTGATCTGGATAGCCCTTTCCCTGTACCAGGCCTTGCCCATTCAGTGCTACCAGGCCTAGGGAGATGGGACTGCCTCATTCTGAGCTTCAAATAACAAGCCTACTTGGTTAACAGAATGGGACTCATGGCCTCCAACTTACTTGTTATCGGTGGTATATTTGAAACCCATTCTTGCTCTTCAGTTCATAACTTATTCAGAGCCCAGCAGAAAAGAGGAGTTCTATTCATAGGGGACTTCCTCAGAAATCCCAATAATTGACAACATTATTCTAGCAGGAAAACAAAGAGATTCTTGGCATGAATCCCATGACACTGGCTGTCTCAGGTGGGTTTTTGCCATTCTATAGCTCTGCAAGGGAAAAGACTGGTGACCATCTCCACGGACAATGTCCAATGCCAGGAAACAAGGGTGGTCCACCCATGTGCCTAGTGGAACAAGCTGCCTCTGATTCAGCTCTTGGATCCACTCTGAGAAATACTATCAGGCCATGCTATGGTTGAGTATTTGTCCCATCTAAAACTCATGTTAAAATTTAATCCTCAGTATGGCAGTATTGAGAGATGAGACCTTTAAGAGGTGATTGGGGCCAGGCATGGTGGCTCATGCCTGTAATTCCAGCACTTTGGGAGGCTGAGGTGGGTGGATCACCTGAAGTCAGGAGTTTGAGACCAGCCTGGCCAACATAGTGAAACCCCATCTCTACTAAAAATACAAAAACTAGCCGGACGTGGTGGCACGCACCTGTAGTCCCAGCTACTCAGGAGGCTGAGACAGAAGAATCACTTGAACCTAGGAGGCAGAGGTTGCAATGAGCCAAGACGACACCACTGCACTCCAGCCTAGTGAAAGAGTGAGACTCCATCCCCCCCTCCGCAAAAAAAAAGAGGTGATTGGGTCATGGGGACTTTGCCCTCATGAATTAATGAATTAATGAGTTAATGGATTAATGGAATATCATGGGAGTGGGATCAGAGGCTTTATGAGAAAAGGAAGTGGGACCTGAGCTGACACGTTAGCACGCTCACCCCCCCTTACCATATGACATCCTGTGCTGCCTCTAGACTCTGCCGCATCCCCACCAGCAAGAAGGCCCTCACCAATGGCCCCTCGACCTTGGACTTCTCAGCCTCCAGAACTTAAGAAATAAATTCCTTTTGTTTATACGTTACCAAGTTTCAGGTATTCTCTTATAAGCAACAGAAAACTAAGTTGGGCCACAACAGAGTCAAAATTTTGCAGGCATCTTGTTTGGTTACAGACTGTTGCCTCCATCAAACGCTTTCATCCACGCAGCCAGTAAATGATTGGCAGGCTCTGTTCTGTGATGTTTACAGCACTGAGAAAGTGCAGAAACCAAGGCAAATATTTTAATATTCTTTACCTGTTAAACAGCCTAACAAGCCAACTGATTACACAGTGTATCTTTAAAAGGCAAAGACAGTGTAAAAGATCATTTTTTTTCTTTAGATGAGATGATTTTGCAATTCAAGTTCCTTCAATAAAGCTAAAGTCTATGGCTTTTATAGAGCAAGGGCCAATATTTGTTCTCTATTTTTCACAGGTCTTGAGATTAAATGAGTAAATATATGTATTCATATATATTTAATATATATTAAATGAGTAAATATATATTCATATATATTTGATATATTTGAATATCTATACACTATATTTGAATATATATACACTATATATTCATATATATAGTGTATATATGAGTAATATATATATTTATATTTTTATATATTATATATATTATATATCTTTTATATATTTATATATTATATATATTATGTATCTCTTATATATAATATATATATTATATATATATTTTCTTTGAGGGCTAAGCTTTTCACAAGGTCTTGGACTAAGCGACCTGGTCATCCAGAGGCTGCAGCTACTTGCTGATGCCAGAACATATGTCCCCTTGACATTTGGTCATAAGCTCATTTGTCAATATAACTTCCTCGTACCTGAGACTCCTAGGTCACTTTCTGCCCTAAGAGGATGTGGAATAAGTGCATATATTCAGCCCAAAATACAGTTAAGTCATGTGATGTGTAGAGAAAACAGAAATTCAATATATTTTTTTTTTGCTATTGGGACTTGTTTTTTAACAATGTCTACTTTTAACATTTGTTTTAGTGATTTGCTCCCAATTTACACCAGTTACATTGCCGAGTCCCATCCCCCCTTTATTAGCCCACTTCTGTTGCATATCTAAATAAACTTGGCTGTGGCTCAGACTTATACCAATTTGCCAGTTTTGTGCCCCCCTCTTCCTACTCCTCAGGGCATGGGGGAAGCCAGGTGTGCTAGGTGGAGGCGGGGCTTTGGCAACTCAGGAGATGTGAATTTTGGCAGGCATTAGTTCTCACTGGAAATGTGCCCCCAAAAGTGTGGCACAAGAACCTAAGTGACTACACCTGCAAAGAGAGCAATTCCTCGAGAAGCTCAGTGCTAAGGAATGGGGAGACGGCTGTGTCCTATTTCCCACTACCCTCCACATGAGGCCCTAGAGAAAAAATTTTCTGTCCTAGCCAGAGAGGTAGGAGAGAGCTGTTGCCACTTCTGGGGTTCTGAGCCTTTTGCCGGCAATGTTGTCCTTATCTTTCCTCCCTTCTCCTATTTCTTTCTGGTTTATCTATCTCTCAATGTCCAGTTCAAGTTTTGCCTCCTCCAGGAAGTCTTCCCTGACTGCTCCTGCCAGAAGCAACTGCCTCTTCAAAGATAAGAAGCATCTACCGCCTGTCCAGCCCTGTAGATGCTACCAACATCTGATTTTACTGTTTGAAGAACTTTTTCCAGACACAAAGAATACAAGAGAGAACAAAAAACAATACAATTTTTTAAAAAGTATCCAGGAGCAACATAAAGTTCAAACTATGATGCTTTCAGGTGAAAACAAGGGACCAGAAAGGGCTGAGAGTCACGGAGGGACATCAGGGTTCATCTAGTTCTGACTCTATTTGAAGTCTTCTCTTAAAAAATCATCTCTAAAAAGCTCTGCATACAGATACTACTCAAAACCTTCTAGAGGCAGGGAATGTAGTTTTTCTCCCTCACTCACTTTTGGAGCATCTCTGAAAGTCAAAAATAGTTCCTTAGATTGGCTCATAGTGTATTTCCTTGTGTGATAATTGGAAAAATATTACAGCATTAAGATGAACTCTTCCATTCATTCTTTCATACCATCTATTTCTGTATAATATCACTGAGTATCAGATTCCATCTATCTGTCTATCTCTCTATCTAGTGCAACTGCTCAACCAGCCCAATGAAACATCAACAACCAAGTCCTCCCAAGCACAGGTAGCCTGCAGCCTTACAACCAGACACTAAAGCTATTTGTTCATTCATTCATTCAATCCTCTATTTAGAGAATAAACCAGATACCAGACATTGTTCTTGAGACTGGCTGTGCAGCAGAGAGCAAAATAAGCAAAGAACCTACCTTCAGGGAGCCTGTGCTCTAATAAGGGAGACAGGTTAACAAGAAATCATAAGCATATACACAGGATCAGGCAGTGAAATATGCTCTGCAGGAAAATAAAGCCATATTGATGGATAGACAGTGATTGAGAGTCGGAGGAGGTGACATTGGGGTGGCGACCTGAGTGAATTGCAGAAACAAGCCATGTCACTATCTGAAAGACGAAGCTTCCAGGGGGAAGAAGATCTAGTGCCAATGCCAAGGCAGGGGTTTTCTTGGTGTATTAAATGAGAAAAACCAAGGCCTGTGCAGTTGGAAAACAGTGATCCAGGAAGGATGCAGGGGAGAAATGAGGTCGGGGGCTAGACAGAGCTTGATGGAGGCCTGTGGACCATGGTGAGCGTGGTGGCTTCATTCTTAGCGTGATAAGAAGCTGTTGCAGGGTTTTGAGGAGAGCCATAGCCTGGTGTAAGTTTCACAATGCCACACTGTCTGTTCTGCAGGAAAGAGAATAGATTGCGCAGGGCCCAGAGTGGAGGCTGGGAGCCCAGGCAAGAGTCTCTCTTGCTTATTCCTGCTGTTTCCTGTGTACCATCTTCCCACCTCAGTTGCAATCTGTTCCAGGGCAGACTGTTCTGGTCTGTGTGGAAACCCCGCTGCTTGGCTCCAGGGAACCTTCCAGAGCCTGAAACAGCTCCCTACATTCCACCCACCATGTTCCCCTTTCCTTTGTAACCCAACCTAATATGCCTGCACCACAATTTCCCTGTTTTTGTGCCCTTCCCCAAACACTCAGCCTGCCCACTTTCAGGGTCAAATCCTGTTCAGATAGTGCTAGGGGACTAGCAAACTAATCTCACACAGTGGTTCTCACTAAGTTGTAAATGGCAGGTGTAATGCTATGAAGAAATGTCCAGGAGGCATTTCTTCAGTGCCTATTCCAAAAGAATAGAGCTTTAGCAATATCATTTCAGAACCCATAACAGACTTCACACAAAGTATTGGCAGGATGTTAGGCCCTCCATAAAATTACAAGAAAAAGAAATAAGACCATAGATTTCAACATTGACATTATTGCAAATTAGATCATGAACATAGAATTCATCCAACGCCTGGTATGGCAAGGCTATAAAAAGCTGTCTAATCAAGCCAACCCATTTTAGAGATGAAGGAACTGAGGCTCCCAAATTAGAAGGCTTTGGCAGAGAAATCACGGGATTGGTTTGCTCTAAATTGTGAAAATTGTACAATAGGAATGGCTAGCATGATGCTGACAACTTTTATCATCATTATTATTTTGCTAATTATGCTCCATTTCTCCTTCAATCTCTTCCTCTCTATGGAATCCACCACTTATGACTCAGAACTCACTTGGCATCTAGAGTCAGGTCCCCGGGGCATGAGTAGATACAACCCTACTGATCCACATTTTGACTCACCTATCCAATGGACTCAGCCCCAAAAGTAGAGGTGATCTGGCTTGGGAAAGCATCAACAGTATGAGCACTGATCCCTAACACCTGTCATTGTGCAGGCCATCCACAGTGTGTTACCTGGGGACATTTAAGAAAGCATACATTTGTTCAAAAGCAGGAACTGAAGGAAGGAAAGCTTCTTACTTGCCGTTCACTGGACTCAGGTACCACTTGGGCGCTGGCTTCTCAGAGGACCCTGGCCACCTCCGAGAATGCTGGCCCTCCAGTGCATCCAGACAGAGAAGGAAGGATCCTATGGTCTGCAGCCTCAAGGACGGCTGCACCACTGAAGCTTCAGATTAAATATTTTTGTGATTCCATAAGCAGAAAACAAACTGTTCTCAATGAATGACAGGCACAGCACAGATGCCACCTATTAAATAATTAAAATAAAGTAGAAATTAAAAATAAACAGTGGGAAATGATTTGAAACACACACAACCAAAGGATGCAGAAAAATATCTTGGGAATGAAGAAGTGAGTAAAATTAGATTTGAGTGATTTCTAAATTCAATTGCATCTAGATTAACTGGCTGTCTTTCTCCCAGAGTCAGCACGAAATAAGCAATACCTACACTGAGAAATCCTAGAAGCAAGTGCACTGCTAATGCAGCCACGGTGCCACTTCTGATGGTCCCAGCATTTGCCCATGAAGACAAGATGGGAAGGTATAAAGTGAGATACGAAGAAAGGAAAATGAAAATAGAATTTGTAGTGGTCGGCAAATGTTGTGTAATGAACAATCACAGAATCTTAGTAACACACAACAATAAACACTTGTCTCTCTCAAATTTGTGGGTCAGTTATAAATTTGCTGATTTACACTGGGCTTGGCTAAATGCCTCTGCTTCAAGCTGCAGATCAGGTTGTGCTTGACATATCTCAACTGAAGTTTGGGCTCTGGTCAATTTTATGCGTGCCTATTCTAGGACTTAGGCCAAAATGGTAAAAGCAATCCAGAGGCAACTTGCATCCTGGTAAAGACAGAAATTTCAAGGTGGATGGAAACACGCAATTCCTCTGAAGCCTCAACTGGGAACTGGCATACTGCCACTTCTACCTACATTCCACTAGCCAGTATAAGTCCCATAGTCAAGCCAATTTTGATGAGATGGGAAAATACACTCCACCTACTCTGATAACTGGTACTGCAAAGCCACATGGGAAAGAAAGTGGGTATGTAATTCTAATGTAGAAGATCATAAAGAACTGCAAACAATGATTCATTCCACTTCAGGTTTTATTTCACATGACGCTTTCCAAAGAAAATTGTTAAATTGTTTCTGGGGTCCTTCAAGATGATGGTCCAGACCATGGTTCAGCAAACAGTAGCCCACAGACCAAATCCAGCTCACCACCTGTTTTTGTATGTACTGCAAACCAAAATGAGTTTTTATATTTTTAAATCATTGGGAGAAAAAAATCAAAAGAATGGTGGTTGGTAACACATGAAAATTACATGAAGTTCAAAAATCAGCATCTATAAATAAAGTTTCATTGTACCATAGCCATACTCATTTGCTTTTGTATTAACTATGCTTCTTTTATATGACATTGCCAGAGTTGAGTAGTTACAGCAGAGACCATATGGCCTACAAAGTCTGAAATAGCAACTCTGACCCTTCAAAGAAAAAGTTTGCTGACTTCTGGTCTAGACCACCATTGTCCAATAGAAAAATAATGTGAGCCACATATGGATTTTAAATAATCTAGTAGGCACATTAAAAAGGTAAAAAGAAATCAGTGACATTAATTGTAATAATATATATATTTAATCAAATATGTCCAAAATAGTACATTTCAAAAAAGTAAAAATGAGATTTTTTTTATACTAAGTCTTTAAAATCTGGCACATATAAAATACTTTATTCTGTGGTGTATAAAATCTGGGGTGTATAAAATATTATATACTTACAGCACAGATCATTTCAGACTACACACATTTCAAGTGCTCAATAGCCATATGTATGTATCTGGTGGGGACCCTGTAGGAAAGTAAAAACGTACACACTTTTTATGCCCTCAGAAGATGCCTAATCCTGGTTTACTAGGGTTTTTTTTTTCCAAACCCCCTCTGAAGTCAATTTGTTCCAAATGATCTTTTAGTTTGAATGACCACAGAATGTCTATCTATACTCAACATTATGTTACCTTGTGCCTTGAGAAGAGCCCTACCTGCAGCAGAGGCTCAAAGTGTTTGTTGGATAAATAAATGCATGAATGAATCATGCCTTTGTTCATATTATGCTTCTGAAGTCATTCTTTGGCTTCTCCCTATATTTGACTCCTGTCCCTGCAACTAAACTGTTTGCTGCTTAAGTATGACAATCAAGTATCTCTTATTGGACTAATTCTCCTGCAGATAAAACTATAAACCATGGGAAATACTTTTTAAAATAACTACATGAAGTCACCGAAGAACAATCAAAAATAAGAACTTAAGGCCAGACACGGTGGCTCAGGCCTGTAATCCCAGCACTTTGGGAGGCTGAGGTAGGCAGATCCCTTGAGCCCAGGAGCTTCCGACCAGCCTGAGCAACATGGTGAAACTCCATCTCTACAAAAAAATACAAAAAAATTAGCCATGTGTGGTGGCCGATGCCTTAGTGCCAGCTACTCAGGAGGCTGAGATGGGAGGATGGCTTGAGATGGGGAGGTCAAGGCTGCAGTGAGCCATGATCCATGCCACAGAACACAAGCCTTGAGGGGAGACTGGACTTATCTTGGAAGAAGGGAATGGCACCTGATTCACCTGATTTATTTCCCATTTTTACATTGTTTTTAACCTGAAGGCAGGCTTCATTCGGCAGCAAGTGGTGCGGCTGACACTTGAAAGGCATTCCACAGTCCTATGGCTTAACGAACCAGAGGATACAGTTCAGGGTACCCACAGCAGCTGGATGCAGGGTCGAGAGGGTGGGGTTTGGGGTGGTGGTGAGGGCTAACGCAAATAGAAATGAGCCAAGGATAGGGAGCTGATATGGTTTGAGTCTATGTCCCTGCCCAAATCTCATGACAAATTGTAATCCCCAATGGTTGGAGGTGGGGGCTGGTGGGAGGTGATTGGATCAGGGGGCAGACTTCCCCCTTGCTGTTCTCATGATACTGAGTGAGTTATCAGAGATCTGGTTGTTTAAAAGCATGTAGCACCTCCCCCTCTCTCTCTTCCTCCTATTTCAGCCATGTAGGAGAAGCCTGCTTCTCCTTCGCCTTGCACCATGATTGTAAGTTTCCTGAGACCTCCTTAGCCATGCTTCTTGTGCAGCCTGAAGAACTGTGAGCCAATTAAACCTCTTTTCTTTATAAATTTCCCAGTTTCAGGCATTTCTTTACAGCAGTGAGAGAACAGGCTAACACAGGAGCCCTACATTCTGCACATAAATTCTGTCCTAATATCTGGCCGTCTCCTGAACTGTGCATGTATGAGACAGACATGAAGAAACCCAGCTGAGGGTAAAAGAAGAGAATTTTTCCACTGCCTGCAATATTGGAGCCAGTTTAGAATTTTAGTCCAGCAAGCTAAACTTCCTGCTTTAAAAAACAAACAAACCAAGTTTTCTGAGGACCATAACAGAATAAGCCAGAGTGTCTACAACATATAATTTAGAATGTCCTGGATACAATCTGAAATTACTAGACATACTTAAAAGCAGCAAAATGAAGTCTGACCCTGAGATAACCCAGATGTTGGCATTAGGGAAAAAAAGGATTTTAAATCAGCTGTTATAACTGTTACAACTATGCTCAAGGACATAAAGAAAAATGTTCGCCAAGTAAATAAAAACAGAAAATCTCAGCAGAGAAATAGACTGTTTAAAAAAGAACCAAATGAAATTGTAGAATTGAAAACTAAAATTACCTGAAATGAAATATTCACTGGATGGAGATAACATAATGTGCTGTGTAGAAAATTCCATAGACCCTACCAGAAAAAAAAACCTACTAGAACTAATATATTCCAGGATACAAGCTCAATATTTTAAAAATCAATTCTATTTTATTTCCTAGCAATAAGTACTCAGGACTTAAAATTTTAAAAAAGACATAATTTACAATAGCAACCCAAACTATGAAACACTTAGAGATAAGTCTAATAAAACATGTGACATGTGTAACTGAAAACCATAAAACATGGCTGAGAGAAACTGAAGAGCACCTCAAAAAATGAAGGAGGTTCATGGGTTTCTGTTTCATGGGTAGAAAGACTCAATATTGCTAAGATGTCAATTCTCTCCAAACTGTTCTATACATCCAACACAATCCCAATGAAAATTGCAGCAGGCTTTAAGTTGAGAAGTTTATTCTAAAATTTGACTGAAATAGCTCAGTTGGCAGAGCATTAAAGTGAAGATCTAAAATTCATATGGAAACTTAAAGGACATAGAATACCAAAATAAGTTAGAGAGGAACAAAGTTGAATGACATACTACCAAGCTTCAAGATTTATTACAAGGTTACAGTAATCAAGACATTTAGTACTGGCATCAAGATAGACAAATAGACATGGAACAAAATATAGAATCCAGAATTAGACCCAAAAAATTGAAAACAAATCAATTTTCAATTGATTTTTTTACAAAAGTGTTAGGCAATTCAGTGAAGAAAGGATGGTATTCCCAACAAATGGCACTGGAAAAATTAAGCATCCATATGCATGCATCAATTAGTTAATTAATGAATTTCAATCCATAAATTATGTGAACTGAAATCATATGGATTGCATCATATATACAAATTTACTCAAAATAGGTCATGGGAATAAACATAAAATCTAAAATTATAATGCCTCTAGAAAATTAAAGCACAGGATGAAATCCCTTTTTACCTAGATTAAGCAAAGATTCTTCAAATATGATGCCAAAACAAGAATTCATGAAAGAAAAAAATTTATAAATGGGACTTTATCAAAATTTAGAACTTCTGCTTTTCAAAGGCACTGTTAAGAAAATATAAAGAAAGAGGTTCCGAGATGGCCAAATAGGAACAGCTCCAGTCTACAGCTCCCAGCGTGAGTGATGCAGAAGATGGGTGACTTCTGCATTTCCAACTGAGGTACCGGGTTCACCTCACTGGGACTGGTCAGACAGTGGGTGCAGCCCAGGGAGCATGAGCCAAAGAAGGGTGGGGCATCGCCCCCCCCAGGAAGTGCAAGGGGTCAGGGAATTCCCTTTCCTAGCCAAGGGAAGCCATGACAGATTGTACCTGGAAAGTCGGGTACCCTCATACTCCCACCCTCATACTGCGCTTTTCCAATAGTCTTAGCAAACAGCACACCAGGAAATTATATCCCGTGCCTGGCTCAGAGGGTCCCATGCCCACGGAGCCTCACTCACTGCTAGCACAGCAGTCTGAGATCAAACTGCAAGGCAGCAGTGAGGCTGGGGGAGGGGCATCCACCATTGCTGAGGCTTGAGTAGGGAAACAAAGCATCCAAGAAGCTTGAACTGAGTGTAGCCCACCACAGCTCAAGGAGGCCTGCCTGCTTCTGTAGACTCCACCTCTAGGGGTAGGGCATAGCTGAACAAAAGGCAGCAGAAACTTCTGCAGACTTAAACGTCTCTGTCTGACAGCTTTGAAGAGAGTAGTGGTTCTCCCAGCACGGAGTTGGAGATCTGAGAATGGACAGATTGCCTCCTCAAGTGAGTCTCTGACCCCCAAGTAGCCTAACTGGGAGACACCTCCCAGAATGGGCCGACTGACACCTCAAACGGCCAGGTGCCCTTCTGAGACGAAGCTTCCAGAGGAATGATCAGGCAGCAACATTTGCCATTCTGCAATATTTGCTGTTCTGCAGCCTCTGCTGGTGATACCCAGACAAACAGGGTCTGGAGTGGACCTCCAGCAAATTCCAACAGACCTGCAGCTGAGGGTCCTGACTGTTAGAAGGAAAACTAACAAACAGAAAAGACATCCACACCAAAACCCCATCTGTACATCACCATCATCAAAGACCAAAGGTAGATAAAACCACAAAGACGGGGAGAAACCAGAGCAGAAAAGCTGAAAATTCTAAAAATCAAAGTGCCTCTTCTCCTCCAAAGGAATGCAGCTCCTCACCAGCAATGGAACAAAGCCGGACAGAGAATGACTTTGACAAGTTGAGAGAAGAAGGCTTCAGAAGATCGGTAATAAAAACTTCTCTGAGCTAAAGGAGGATGTTCGAACCCATCGCAAAGAAGCTAAAAACCTTGAAAAAAGATTAGACGAATGGCTAACTAGAATAAAAAGCATAGAGAAGACCTTAAATGACCTGATGTAGCTGAAAACCATGGCATGAGAACTACGTGACGCATGCACAAGCTTCAGTAGCCAATTCGATCAAGTGGAAGAAAGAGTATCAGTGACTGAAGATCAAATGAATGAAATGAAGTGAAAAGAGAAGTTTAGAGAAAAAAAGAGTAAAAAGAAACAAACAAAGCCTCCAAGAAATACAGGACTATGAGAAAAGATCAAATCTACATCTGATTGGCGTACCACAAAGTGATGGGGAGAATGGAACCAACTTGGAAAACACTCTTCAGGATATTATCCAGGAGAACTTCCCCAACCTACTGAGGCAGGCCAACATTCAAATTCAGGAAATATAGAGAATGCCACAAAGATACTCCTTGAGAAGAGCAACTCCAAGACACATAATTGTCAGATTCACCAAAGTTGAAATGAAGGAAAAAATGTCAAGGGCAGCCAGAGAGAAAGCTCGGGTTACCCACAAAGGGAAGCCCATCAGACTAACAGAAGATCTCTTGGCAGAAACTCTACAAGCCAGAAGAGAGTGGGGGTCAAAATTCTTAAAAGAATTTTCAACCTAGAATTTCATATCCAGCCAAACTGAGCTTCATAAGCAAAGAAGAAATAAAATCCTTTACAGACAAGCAAATGCTGACAGATTTTGTCACCACCAGGCCTGCCTTACAAGAGCTCCTGAAGGAAGCACTAAACATTGAAAGGAACAACTGGTACCAGCCACTGCAAAAACATGCCAAATTGTAAAGACCATCGAGGCTAGGAAGAAACTGCATCAACTAACGTACAAAATAACCAGCTAACATCATAATGACAGGATCAAATTCACACATAACAATATTAACCTTAAATGTAAATGGGCTAAATGCTCCAGTTAAAAGACATAGACTGGCAAATTGGATAAGGAGTCAAGATCCATCAGTGTGCTGTATTCAGGAAACCCATCTTACATGTAGAGACACACATAGGCTCAAAATAAAGGGATGGAGGAAGATCTACCAAGCAAATGGAAAAAAAAAAGCAGGGGTAGCAGTCCTAGTCTCTGATAAAACAGACTTTAAACCAACAAAGATCCAAAGAGACAAGGAAGGCCATTACATAATGGTAAATGGATCAATTCAACAAGAAGAGCTAACTATCCTAAATATGTATGCACCAAATACAGGAGCACCCAGATTCATAAAGCAAATCCTTAGAGACCTAGAAAGAGACTTAGACTCCCACACAATAATAATGGGAGACCTTAACACCTCACTGTCAACATTAGACAGATCAACGAGACAGAAAGTTAACAAGGATATCCAGGAATTAAACTCAGCTCTGCACCAAGCAGACTTAATCGACATCTACAGAACTCTCCATGCCAAATCAACAGAACATACATTCTTCTCAGCACCACATCGCACTTATTCCAAAATTGACCACATAGTTGGAAGTAAAGCACTCCTCAGCAAATGCAAAAGAACAGAAATTATAACAAACTGTCTCTCAGACCACAGTGCAATCAAACTAGAATTCAGGATTAAGAAACTCACTCAAAACTGCACAACTACATGGAAACTGAACAAACTGCTCCTGAACGACTGCTGGGTACATAATGAAATGAAGGCAGAAATAAAGATGTTCTTTGAAACCAATGAGAAGAAAGACACAACATACTAGAATCTCTGGGACACATTTAAAGAAGTGTGTAGAGGGAAATTTATAGCACTAAATGCCCACAAGAGAAAGCAGGAAAGATCTAAAATTGACACCCTAACATCACAATTAAAAGAACTAGAGAAGCAAGAGCAAACACATTCAAAAGCTAGCAGAAGGCAAGAAATAACTAAGATCAGAGCAGAACTGAAGAAGATATACAAAAAACCCTTCAAAAAATCAACAAATCTAGGAGCTGGTTTTTTGAAAAGATCAACAAAATTGATAGACCACTCGCAAGACTAATAAAGAAAAAAAGAGAGAAGAATCAAATAGACATAATAAAAAATGATAAACGGGATATCACCACCAATCCCACAGAAATACGAGCTACCATCAGAGAATACTATAAACACCTCTACGCAAATAAACTAGAAAATCTAGAAGAAATGGATAAATTCCTGGACACATACACCCTCCCAAGACTAAACCAGGAAGAAGTTGAATCCCTGAATAGACCAATAACAGGCTCTGAAATTGAGGCAATAATTAATAGCCTGCCAACCAAAAAAAGTCCAGGACCAGATGGATTCACAGCCGAATTCAACCAGAGGTACAAAGAGGAGCTGGTACTATTCCTTCTGAAACTATTCCAATCAATAGAAAAAGAGGGAATCCTCCCTAACCCATTTTATGAGGCCAGCATCATCCTGATACGAAAGCCTGGCAGAGACACAACAAAAAAATAGAATTTTATACCAATATCCCTGATGAACCAATTGATGCAAAAATCCTCAATAAAATACTGGCAAACCGAATCCAGCAGCACATACAAAAGCTTATCCACTACGATCAAGTTGGCTTCATCCCTGCGATGCAAGGCTGGTTCAACACACGCAAATCAATAAATGTAATACATCATATAAACAGAACCAAAGACAAAAACCTCGTGATTATCTCAATAGATGCAGAAAAGGCCTTGGACAAAATTCAACAGCACTTCATGCTAAAAACTCTCAATAAACTAGGTATTGATGGGACGTCTCTCAAAATAATAAGAGTTATTTATGACAAACCCACAGCCAATATAATACTGAATGGGCAAAAACTGGAAGCATTCCCTTTGAAAACTGGCACAAGACAGGGATGCCCTCTCTCACCACTCCTATTCAACATAGTGTTGGAAGTTCTGGCCAGAGCAATCAGGCAGGAGAAAGAAATAAAGGGTATTCAATTAGGAAAAGAGGAAGTCAAATTGTCCCTGTTTGCAGATGACATGATTGTATATTTAGAAAACCCCATCGTCTCAGCCCAAAATCTCCTTAAGCTGGTAAGCAATTTCAGCAATGTCTCAGGATACAAAATCAACGTGCAAAAATCACAAGCATTCCTATACACCAATAACAGACAAACAGAGAGCCAAATCATGAGTGAACTCCCATTCACAATTGCTTCAAAGAGAATAAAATACCTAGGAATCCAACTCAAAAGGGATGCAAAGGACCTCTTCAAGGAGGACTACAAACCACTGCTCAATGAAATAAAGGAGGAAACAAATAAATGGAAGAACATTCCATGTTCATGGATAGGAAGAATCAATATTGTGAAAATGGCCATACTGCCCAAGGTAATTTATAGATTCAATGCCATCCTTATCAAGCTACCAATGACTTTCTTCACAGATTGGAAAAAACTGCTTTAAAGTTCATATGGAACCAAAAAAGAGCCCGCATCGCCAAGACAATCCTAAGCCAAAAGAACAAAGCTGGAGGCATCATGCTAACTGACTTCAAACTATACTATAAGGCTACAGTAACCAAAACAGAATGGTACTGGTACCAAAACAGAGATATAGACAAATGGAACAGAACAGAGCCCTCAGAAATAATACCACACATCTACAACCATCTGATCTTTGACAAACCTGACAAAAACAAGAAATGGGGAAAGGATTCCCTGTTTAATAAATGGTACTGGGAAAACTGGCTAGCCATATGTAGAAAGCTGAAACTGGATCCCTTCCTTACACCTTTATACAAAAATTAATTCAAGATGGATTAAAGACTTAAATGTTAGACCTAAAACCATAAAAACCCTAGAAGAAAACCTAGGCAATACCATGCAGGACATAGGCATGGGCAAGGACTTCATGTCTAAAACACCAAAAGCAGTGGCAACAAAGCCAAAACTGACAAATGGGATCTAATTAAACTAAAGAGCTTCTGCACAGCAAAAGAAACCACCATCAGAGTGAATAGGCAACCTACAGAACGGGAGAAAATTTTTGCAATCTACCCATCTGACAAAGGGCTAATATCCAGAATCTACAAAGAACTTAAACAAATTTACAAGAAAAAATCAAACAACCCCATCAAAAAGTGGGTGAAGGATATGAACAGACACTTCTCAAAGAAATGTCTTCAAAAGAAGACATTTATGCAGCCCACAGACACATGAAAAAATGCTCATCATCACTGGCCATCAGAGAAATGCAAATCAAAACCACAATGAGATACCATCTCACACCAGTTAGAATGGTGATCATTAAAAAGTCAGGAAACAACAGGTGCTGGAGAAGATGTGGAGAAATAGGAACACTTTTGCACCATTGGTGGGACTGCAAACTAGTTCAACCATTGCGGAAGACAGTGTAGCGATTCTTCAAGGATCTAGAACTAGAAATACCATTTGACCCAGCCATCCCATTACTGGGTATATACCCAAAGGATTATAAATCATGCTGCTATAAAGACACATGCACATGTACGTTTATTGCGGCACTATTCACAATAGCAAAGACTTGGAACCAACCCAAATGTCCATCAATGATAGACTGGATTAAGAAAATATGGCACATATACACCATGGAATACTATGCAGCCATTAAAAAGGATGAGTTCATGTCCCTTGTAGGGACATGGATGAAGCTGGAAACCATCATTCTGTGCAAACTATCACAAGGACAGAAAACCAAACACTGCATATTCTCACTCATAGGTGGGAATTGAACAATGAGAACACTTGGACACAGGGTAGGGAACATCACACCCCGGGGCCTGTCATGGAGTTGGCGGGGGCGGGAGGGATAGCATTAGGAGATATATCTACCGTAAATGACAAGTTAATGGGTACAGCACACCAACATGGTCCTATATACATATGTAACAAACCTGCACATCATGCACATGTACCCTAGAACTTAAAGTATAATTTTAAAAAAAGAAAATATAAAGACAAACTACAAGCTATGAGAAAATATTTTCAATATTAATTTTGATAAAGGCTTTATATCAGTATATACAAAGAACCCAAAAGTCAATAATAAGAAATCAACAACCAAATGAAAAATGGCAGAAGATTTGAGCAAATAATCAGAAAAAAAGATTTGTGGATATCACCTTGCACATGAAAAGTTGCTCCAACATCATTAGTTCCTGGAGAAATGCAAATTAAAAACCACAATGAGATACAACTACATACCCACTAGAGTGGCTAAAATTAAAAACTGGCCATCCCATACCAAACATTGGCATCAATCTAGAGCAACTGGAACTCTTTTTGTTCTTTTTTTTTTTTTTCTTTGAGACGGAGTCTCACTCTTGTTGCTCAGGCTGGAGTGCAATGGCACGATCTCAGCTTACTGCAACCTCCACCTCCTGAGTTCAAGTGATTCTCCTGCCTCAGCCTTCCAAGTAGCTGAGATTACAGGCACCCACCACCATGCCCACTTAATTTGTTTTAACTATTTTTAGTAGAGACAGGGTTTCACAATGTTGGCCAGGCTGGTCTCAAACTCCTGACCTCAGGTGATCCACCTGCCTCAGCCTCCCAAAGTCCTGGGATTACAGGCATTAGCCACCACACCTGGCCTGGAACTCTTATAGACTGCTGATTGGTTGTGTAAAATGGCACAACCACTTTGGAAAACAGTTTGTTATTTTTTAAAAAGTTAAACATCCATCTACTAGATATTTATTCATGAGAAATGAAAGCATACTTCCATTCAAGGACTTGTACATGAATATTCATAGCAATTTTACGTAGAATAACCAAAAACTGGAAACAACAATGCATAAACAAACTCTGATATATTCTTGCAATAGAATACTATTGTGCAATGAAAGTGAATGAGGTGTTGAAACATGCAACAACATAGTTGAAAAGTATAATAATTATGTAAGTGAAAGATGCAGACAACAAAAGAAACAACTGTCCTATTTCATTTATATAGAATTCTAGAAAATGCAAACTAATCTATAGTGACAGAAAGTAGATCATGCTTTCCTGGGAGCAAGGGAGCGACAAGAGAGGTATTACAAAGGAGCATGAGGAAGTTTTTGGGATTGGTGAATATGTTCATTATATTGATTGTGGTGATTGTCTCATGGGTGTATATGGATGTAAACCTCATCAAATTATACACTTTAAATATACACATTTTATATTTCAATTATACCTCAATAACTCTATTAAAAACAAACAAAAATGCACTGATGCACTTAATAGTATCTTAAAGACAATAGAACAAAGTCAGTGGAGAGAGCAATAGAAATTATCCAATCTAAAGAACAGGGACAAAACATCATTACAATAATGAAAAGAGCCTCACCAATCTATGGGACGATCTCAAAAGATGATTCTCATAATTGAAGTGCCAGAAGGAAGAGAAAGTAAAAAAAAAAAGTGAACAATTTGAAGAAATAATTGCTGAAAATCTCGCCTGTTTGGTCAAAAACAAATTTATCAAACTCAAAATATCTGTACAGCAAGGGAAACAATCAATAGAGTGAAAATGCCACTTTTGGAACGGGAGAACATATTTGCAAACCATGTATCTGATAAGGTGTCAATTTCCAAAATATATAAGGAAAATCCACAACTTAATAGCAAAAAATAATAATAATTTAAAAATCCAATTTAAAAATGAGCAAGGGACAAAGATAGACATTTCTCCAGAGAAGACGTACATGTGGCCAACAGATATATGAAAATGTGCCCAACATCGCCAACCATCAGGGAAATGCAAGTCAAAACCACAATAAAATATCACCTCATACCTGTCAGGATGGCTACTATCAAAAAAAAACAAAAGACAACAAGTGTTGGCAAGGTTATGGGGAAATTAGAATTCTGTACACTCTTGGTAGGAATGTAAAATGATACAGCCACAATGTAAAACAGTTGGCAATTTCTCATAAAACTAAAAATAGAGCTACCATGTATCTATTTTGGGGAATAGAGCCAAAAGAATTCAAATTAGGATTTTTTTTTTTTTTTTAGACAGGGTCTCACTTTGTCATTTAGGCTGGAGTACAGTGGTGCAATCATTGCTTATTGCAGCCTCAAACTCCTGGGCTCAGCCAATCCTCCCACCTCAGACTCCCAAGTAGCTGAGACTATAAGCACAAACCACCATGCCAGGAAACTTTTTAATTTTTTGTAGAGATAGGGTCTCACTTTGTTGCCTGGGCTGGTCTTGAATTCCTGGCTTCAAGCAATCCTCCCTCCTCAGCCTCCTAAAGTGGCGAGATTACTGGTGTGAGCCACCACATCCAGCTAAAATCAGGATCTTGAAGAGATACCTATATTCCCATGTTCACTGTAGCATTATTCACAATAGTCAAGATATGAAAACAGCCCAAATGTCCATGGACAGATGAATGGATAAAGAAAATGTGTTATATAGGTACAGTGGACTATTATTCGATCTTAAAAAAAGGAGAAAAAAATTACCATTTACAACAACATGGATGGACCTGGAAGATATTATGCTAAGTGGAATGAGTCAGTCACAGAATGACAAATACTGCATGATCCTACTTACACGAAGCATCTAAAATAGTCAAACTCATAGAGTAAGAAAATTAAATGGTGGCTGCCAGGGGATGAAGGGGGTGGGGAATGAAGCATTGTTCAGCGGGTATAAAGTTACACCTACACAGGATGATTAAGCTTTAGAGATCTGCTGTACAGCATTGCATAACAAGAGGGTAGATCTCACGTTAAGTGTTTTGACCACTAAAAGGGGGCATGGGGACACGAGGAAACTTGCTCTACAGTTTCAATGTTCTTTATACGAAGTAAATAGAAACTTCTAAGTAGTTTGTGAAAATTACAGTTGTATATTGTCATCCACAGAGCAAGATTTTTCAACCTCAGAACTATCGATATTTGGGGCCAGATAATTCTTTGCTGTGTTTCCTGTGCACTGTTGGATATTTAGTGGTATCTCTGGCCTCCACTCACCAGATGCCAGTAGTACTTCTCTAGTTGTGACAACCAAAAATGTCTCCAGACATTGCCAAATTCCCCTGAGAAATAAAATCACCCCTGTGTGAGAACCACTACCACCACACACACACACACACACACACACACACATAAAAACACTAACAAATGATGTAAAGAGGTATAGCTAAAAAGCCAATGAAATGAATTAAAATTGAATTCTATAAAATATTCTGTTAACCCAAAATAATTCAGGAAAGAAGCGACAGAGGAACAAAAAGAAAAATGAGAAAAACATTGATATGGTTGAGGATATTTGTCCCCTCCAAATCTCATGTTGAAACGTCATCCTCAATGTTGGAGGTGGAGCCTAGAGGGCAGTGTTTAGGTCATGGGGGCAGATCACTCATGAAGTGCCCTTCCATGGTAATGAGTTCTGACATTATTAGTTCACCCAAGAGCTAGTTGTTTAAAAAGGGCCTGGCACCTTCACTTCTCTCTCTCACTCCCTCTCTCACCATGTGACATGCCTGCTCCTCCTTTGCCTTCTGCCACAATTGAAAGCTGCTGGAGGCCCTCACCAAGAGCAGATGCCAGCACCATGCTTCCTGTACAGCCTGCAGAACCAAATAAACCTCTTCATAAATTACCTAGGCTCAAGTATTCCTTTATAACATTACAAATGGACTAATACAAATATAAAACAAATAGAATAAGTAGTAAAATATTATGTAGAAACTCAACCATATCAAAATTACATTAAATTTAATTGGACTAAACACTTTAGTTAAAAGGCAGAGATTTTCAGAATGGTTAAAAAAGCAAAACCCCTTGGCCGGGCACGGTGGCTCACGCCTGTAATCCCAGCACTTTGGGAGGCCGAGGCAGGCAAATCACAAGGTCAGGAGATCAAGACCATCCTGGCTAATACAGTGAAACCCCGTCTCTACTAAAAAAGCAAAACCCAACTATATGATGTCTATAAGAGATAGACTTTAGAGGCCGGGCACGGTGGTTCACGCCTATAATCCCAGCACTTTGGGAGGCCGAGGTGGGCGGATCACAAGGTCATGAGATCGAGACCATCCTAGCTAACACAGTGAAACCCCGTCTCTACTAAAAATACAAAAAATTAGCCGGGCGTGGTGGCGGGTGCCTGTAGTCTCAGCTATTCGGGAGGCTGAGGCAGGAGAATGGTGTGAACCCAAGAGGCAGAGCTTGCAGTGAGCCGAGATCGCGCCACTGCACTCTAGCCTGGGCAACAGAGCGAGACTCCATCTCAAAAAAAAACGAAAAAAAAAAAGAGATGGACTTTAAAGATAAAGCCACAGATGGGTTGAAAATAAATGATTAATGAAATATTTACTATGCAATCACTGAGCATAAGAACGCTGGACTGATTGTACTGGTATCTGACATATTTCAAGACTAAGGGTATTACCACAGATAGAGACATTTCATGAAAGCAAAAAGGTCAATCTATCAGAAAGGTGTAACATTGTTAATTCATATCAGCCTAATAACAGAGCCTCAAAATACACTAGGCACAAATTGTCAGAATTAAAGGGAGAAATAGACAAATCCACAATTATATTGGGAGATTTGAAATATACTCTTAGCAATTGACAGGAAGTTCCACCTGTCCATCTGATGAGGCAGTTGCCATAAGAAAGCAGCCCACACAGTCTAACCAGTAGGGATTAAGGAAAGCAGTCAATGCTTCTTTCTGGGCAGTGACATATTGGTCACGGGAGAGTTACCAGTTTTGAACGTCTGTGGGGAGGCAGTTTTGTTAGTCACTTCAGTTTATTACAATGATTCTCCACCATAGCTGCACTTCTAAATCATGTAGGAGGATTTTGAACAAGACCTGGAGTTGGGCCTCACCACTAAAAACTTTGATCTGATTGATACGGGGATGGCTGTAAGTATCCATATTTTTCTTAAAGCTGCCCACATGATATTAATGTGCATTTATTGCTATGTCATCTCATGTAATGACTTCTGTGGGCCAATTAGAATTTTAGGTCACATTATCCCGTTGGGTATATGTATTGAATTTTTCAGTACATACCTCAGCTTGGCACTGTCTCCTCCACCCTATTCACAGGCAGTTTAGGTTTTGAATACAAGTACAGAAGTTTATATTCTTCTGTATTGAATGCCATTTTTTATGATCAACACTTCTCACTGTCAAGATTCTGTAAGATCCCACTTCTATCTCCAATCCTCTCATCCTTTTTATCCTGTTTTATGTGAAGAATACAAGTGTCCAATAGTCTTTCCTAGCTCAGAGTCACTAAAATTACTATAAATCTGCTCCTTCTCTAGGGCTAAAATCACAATCAAGCTCCTCCGTTTGTGTGTTTTCTCATTATCTGAACCAAGCTCTATTGTCTTTTCTACCAGAAAGGCCCTTCATACCTCCATATCTTCCTGGACAATTCCTTCAAGACACAGTGCAAGTATTAGCTTTACAAAGAAGCCCTTCCTGCCTCTACTTAATCATTCCCTGCCCTTCCCAATCTCTAAACCCAGGACATTCCTCTATCACAGTACACATCACAATTTAGAATAATCTATTTCTTTATCAGTCTGTCTTCCTCGCTAGACTACGAGGTATACGAAGGCAAAGACCTGGTCTTGTTCCTCTTAGTATCCCAGTGCCAAGTCCTCATAGTGAGTGTCCAATAAATGTGCCTCGCATGAAGGGAGGGAAAGAAGGAGAGGTACATTTTTTTCTTAGAAATTGGGGTTCAAAACATCAAATAAAATCCTTTGACTCAGATGTTAGCTTTCCATAATTCTCCTAAGCCCAGAGTTTTAGGTAGCAGTAATAACTCTTCATACTTCTATAATATTTATTATTTACACAGCACTGAACATAATCTTACCCAACCCCTTTGAAAACCCAATTATGTACTGTTACCCCAATATTACAGATGAGAAATCTGATGATCGAAAACATTGATTTGTCCAAGATCTCTGACTAAAAAGGAACCAAACTTAGGTCTTCAGACTTAAGAATTGATCTGTTTTGTTTGATTTTAAAACATACAACCCTGGAGGATTAAATTAAGCTCTCTCCCACCTGGCATGGGCGAAGCCTTATTGTGTCTCTCCCATAGATATGCAGATTATCACTGGTGATGTACAGGCTACCAAGGCCTGCTAGGTACACTGGGTGTGAAGGCTTCAGGAGCCCCAGGCACCACTGGCTCCCAGCCTAAGTCCAAGGTCCCCATCTAGGACCTGGCTCCCATCTCATGATGCCAGTGCTGTTCTCAGGCTCTGCCATGCAGAGGTGACTGCTAATTACATTATGAGGGCTTCATGGAAAATGGGATGTGTGGTGAGTCTTAGTGGACGCGTAAGCGGATACATGGAGAGGAATGTGCAGTGTGCTTTAACCAAAAAGAAAGATTTTTGTAAAACAAAATTTTCAATGCAGGAAAGCCCATAGTTTACTCCCAGGGTTTACAGAGGTTGGCACAAGTGCGGCTATCATGGCTTAAAGAAGACTCCACCACCCACCTCCACCACTTCCACCCCGGCCTCTTTCTTTCCACCCAAACATGTGTTTTTCTTTTGTTTTGTCTTTTCATTTTGGAGACAGGGTCTTTCTCTGTCACTCAGGCTTGAGTGCAGTGGCACAATCATAGCTCTTTGCAGCCTCAAACTCCTGGTCTCAAGCAATCCTCCCACCTCAGCCTCCCAAGTAGCTAGGACTATAGGCACACATCACCACACCTGGCTAATTTTTACTTTTTTTATTTTTCTGTAGAAACAGGATCTCACAATGGTGCCCAAGCTGGTCTTGAACATGGTAAGCATCTTCCCACATGGGCCTCCCACAGTGCTGGGATTACAGGCAGGAGCCACTGCACCAGGCCCGTCTTCTGTTCACCTTGGGCATAAACCTGAACATGGCTTTACATCAGACAGAACAGCTTTGTGGGACAAGGATGACATCTCCAGCTGTTGATGCAAAGTCAGAGGACATCTGTGAGATCACTGGCAGCCCCACCCTTGAGTAAGGAGCTCCCTGCAGCACCTGTACAAGTGCCTGCTTGAGTGCTCTAGCAAGTGACAGGGTGCTGTACCACAAAAGGGAGCCCCAAAACTTTGTGGAGCAACTTGAAATAGCCATTAGTTTTTAGAAAATGCCAGTCTGTGCACCAGGACCTGGCTGCCTCAGAATCACTGTGGGCCATTTTGTTTGTTTGTTTGTTTGTTTGTTTGAGACGGAGTCTTGCTCTGTTGCCCAGACTGGATGTAATGGCGTAATCTTGGCTCACTGCAACCTGCATCTCCCAGTTTCAAGCAATTCTCCTGCCTCAGCCTCCCAAGTAGCTAGGATTACAGGCACACGCCACTGTGCCCAGCTAATTTTTGTATTTTTAGTAGAGACAGTGTTTCACCATGTTGCCCAGGCTGGTCTTGAACTCCTGACCTCAGGTGATCCACCCCCCCACCCCTTGGCTTCCCAAAGTGCTGGGGTTACAGGTGTGAACCACCGTGCCTAGCCAGCCATTTTTTTAAAATATAGTTCCCACACTTCTCCTGTAATAATTCTGATTTCCTAGGTAGAGAATGGGTCTTTCAAATATGCAGATTCCCAGGCCCTGTGCCAGACAAGCTAAATCAGTATTACCTAGGGAGGGGAGCGGGAATTGGTTCTTTTTAAAACATCCCCAAGTGGCTCTACTGTACAGCCTGGTTGGGAACTGCTGAACTGGAGTATTCTATTTTCCAGTCCAAATCTCCACTTGCCCCCTCTACCTGTCTCCCCCTGTTCTACCCACCGCAGCCACCAAGGCACCCAGGGCTTCTTCCTCAAGGCACCTGCTCAATGTTTGAAAAATAAAAGACAGCTTCTTCCCTTAAGTCTTTTCTTTTTAAGACTAAAAAGAACATCACCGCAAGAGAAAGAGTGATTTGCCTGCTAGGAGCCTCCAGAAATTAGGCTCAAAATAGTATTTGCTTCAGGAACTCTTTTATTATTATTCAGAAACAAAGTGTTGAAAGTATAGGGAAAATGCAAACTGATTTGTTTCACCTGTGTATCAATGGATTCAAAATACTGAAGACTTTCTTTTCCCAGAGTCAGTTTTGTTCTGCAAGTGACCCTGTGGAAAATCAAAGAAGGAAGTGGTTCAGGCAGATCCCTGAACTACCCCCAAGTGGGGTCACCTTGTGATAGGTCTGGGTTCCTGGCACCTCTTGAGAGGGAAGGGGTTCCATCCTGCAGAGACGGCCTCCCCACAGAACTGCACCACCGTGAGGTGAGATGTGTGGCTTCATCAGGGCTCAGCTCTGGATCTGGGAAAATGGATCATCTGTAGATTCATGTCTTGGGAACCTAATTGGAGTGGAAAGCCGAGAAGGAAAGCCGGGGGCTGCAAATGTGTAAATCTCATCCCTCAATTACAGGTCTGGCCTGTGAGAATTAACTAGTACAAGGAAGGAAAGACTTGAAGAGCGATAGTTACCTGTGAGCAGCAGCTAAAATCACAATGGCATCATGTTAAAAGCAGGTGCTTGCACCTTACACTGGATTTATCTTTTCACTGGTCAAGAATTGGTCCAGTTAGCTCCAAATGGAGTGCTGAGTTTCTCCAAGGGGCATTCCCTTTGTGTGCTGACCTCATTTCTTCATGACAAGCTTGATGTTTAGCAGGGGCTTAATATCAAATGCTGGAGAAATAAAGATGGATGTGAAAGTCAATCACCAGATGTAAATAATGTTTATTTATCCTTGGTGGAGACAGTCCACCTAAAACTGCCAGGTCTCAAAACCTCATTGCTGCCTGAGAGAAAGAGAAGGGGACAGGTTAAAAATTCCAGCCATGTATATGGCATCTTCCACCTAATATAGGTGGCACAGGTAGAAAATATCAGAGGCAGGGCTCGAACTCCAACTCTCTAGATTCTAGCTAAAGTTTCCTTCAAAAAGATGAGCTTCTTGTTGAAGGCAAAAGGCACTATACATCAGGGCACACCAGGATCCAAGAGCCTCATATCCTCAGGCCTCAGAGTGCCCATTCTAAAAGTAGTACCCCTCCTGTGTGGGGTTAATGTGGTTGGTGGTTACTCTGGCTTTGTTTCTAAGAGTTTCTTGGGTCATATCCTCCATGGAGGAGCGAATTTCTAGGGAGATAGAGCCTGGTGCCTCCTCTTTCCATCAGCAAATCTCATCCCAGACTTCTATATTCATAGGCCTGGCATTAAGACTTAACACTTAAGATTCTGGAGTCAGGGCAAGAGGTATAGCAATGCATACTGAGGATAAGGCATTTCTTTTGGAAGGAAGAGGAGACTAAGGCTCTTTGACCCCAGGAATATTGGACAAGAGAGAATGGATGGGGAAGGAGAAGTGCAGCTTAAGAATGCAGAAAGAGGAGAGGTCATACATGAAAACTACCAGGGATGTGACTCCGCACATCATGTTCCAAAACACTCAGGGCAAAACTGAGACACGAAGCCCTCTACAGCTTGTAGCTGTGTGCCTTCTCCTGCGGCTCTTCATTTTACCTCTCAGATTCCTTCAATTACTAAGGGAAAATCTCAGAGGCACACCAAGCATAGGGGTGAGGGAGAAGGAAGGATGATGTGGCAAGGGACCTGGAAGGAGGAGGCTCAGGGAAGGCTAAAGAGCAGACAGGGGAAGAGGCCTGGCCTGTAGGGTGGCAGCAAAAGGAGATGCGGTCTCACGGACCCCTTGCTAGCCAATATGGTGACCTTGTGCAAGTTGCAAAAGAAGAAATGGGCATTGCTTTCTCAAGACACTTTATGGCCATCTGCTGGAAAATTCTTATAATGGTGATATAAACTTAGGATGACAATGAATGTGAATCTTGCTCCCTGGGGTTGTGTAGGCACATTGCACAAGCAGGGGTGGAGCCCTGCCTCTCAGGGCTCAGAGCAGAACCACTCAGGGGTGTGCCCACCAAGGTCAAAGCAAGACCCCAGTATTAATCATTATTAATAATTAGAGCAACAGCACCTGGAACCTGGGAAAGTTCAGACTTTCCCTTTAGGGTTCCCTTCAGCTCTTGCTCAGATAAAGTTACCTTGTTCCACAAGGAGGAAGGGAAAGGGGTATTAGGGCAGGGAACCAGGACTGGAATTCTGAGGTCGTTGTCTCTGATTCTACTTACATTGCTTCTTGCCAGCCTCTCCCTGTCCCAGTCAGTTCTGCTGTTTCAGACACTTCTTTCTACGTTCACACCGACATTTACAATCTTCCTTGCAAAGATGCAGCAAAAAGATGCTCAGAGGACAGGACACACTTCATCTGGATGTAAGATTTTGCTGTGGGGGACAGGGGATATGGGATTTGTCTGCCCCAGCCCTCTGTTTACAGATGGTGAAACTAAGGCACATTGAGAAAAAGGTCCTTGCGCTATTCCTCATTTTCCACTGATGGGGAGCCAGGATTAACTTGAACCTCTTAACTCCCTGATCAAGAGCCCCCCAAACTGCATTTAGGGGCTTCAAAGTACACAAAGCTGCTCAGTTCCAGGAGAGAGAGAAGTTGTGCTTGAAGGTTGACAGGAGCCACAAGCAGGACTTGACCCATTAAGGCCCAGGCCTGTAGCCCACAGGCACCTGCCACAGGAAGAAGGGAAAGAGGTATTAGGGCAATGAACCAGGACTGGAATTCTGAGGTCCTTGTCTCTGATTCTGCTTACATTCCTTCTTGCCAGCCTCTCCCTGTCCCAGTCTGTTCTGCTGTTTCAGACACTTGCTTCTAGGTTCTATGTTCAACACACACCAGCAGAAACTGACCACCCAAACTCAATGACACACAGGCACGCACAGGTACACATAACATGTGTTTGCATGGGCTATTCTGAAGAGTGACAGCTCCCATGTATCGAACTGCTCTAATGTGCAGGCTCTGTACTGGGTAATTTATAGCATTAGCCCCACCTCACAGTTAGGAAACTGAGGCTTGAAAAGAGAAGTAACACACCAAAAATCACACAAATACTGTGTGATTTGAGTGTCAGGGTGAGGTCTCAAACTGCCTGTCCACAAAGTCCATGTTCTCTCAATTATGCCATGATGTCTCATACGGAGGTACATTGTAATACTGATAATATGTAATGTTAATAGAAAATGGTTCTAATATAGATATATGATGATGATGATGATGACCATGATGATGATGAAAATCATAGCTAAGTTTTAAGGTATTATTCTAAGCCACTCATTGTTCTGAGATCTTTCCATGACCAACCCATTTAATCTTCACCAGTAACACTATGAATACAGCTGGGCAAATGTCTGGAGGCCCCACAGCTTGTAAGTAAAGGAGCCTGGATGTGCTCTCAGTCATACAACCTCTTGTGGATCCAGATCAGGAGGAGACTTGTGTTCAGCACACCTTGGGCTCTGGATTCAGCCCTGAGGAATGACCCTTCCATCCTTCCAGGTAGGCTGTCTTGGGACAGCTGGCTCTCCTGGGAGGGCTGTCTCTCATAAGGCCACGGTTCTCAACCCCTGCTCACCTTTGCTGAATTTGCAGCTCGTCAGTCAGCTCAAAGGCAGAGCTTTGGGTCTCCTGGGAGGGGACCACCAGCAACGCCAGCCCTAGACGTTCAGCATCCCCAGGGAAGGGAGAAAAGGCAGTCAGCGCTGCTTGCTTGTTCAACACCTGAGAGCTTTGGCTGTCCAGAGCACAAAGGCACAAGGCCATTTTCCAGGCGGCTGAGCTCGAGGCCTAGGGGAGACAAGGCTGCTGACTGCTAACGGGGCTGTCCCCAGCAAGGCACTGAGTCTCTCTCTTCCCTCCCCACCCCATCACTGCACCTGGCCTCCCCGGCTTTTGTCTTCACACCCTCCCCTTTCCTCCCGAGACAGCCTCTCTCCAGCCCCTCTCTTTCAGCAGATCAATCCATTTTGTATGAGCAGAAGAGTGAGGAAGAGATCAAGCTACAGAGACTGAATGCACGGCCCGATAAGAGAAGCAAGAAGAACCATCTGTGGCACAAGGGGCTGTGGAGGGGATAATAGCCCAGACCCTGTGTTCTGTTCGGCCACACAATGGGCCGAATCCAGCAGGCGCCCTCCTGGTCTCTAATCTAGTGGGAAGGGCATATGTGCAGTCTATTAGCATTTATTTTCCCTTTCTGCATTGTACTGATAACCTAGTTTCCGACCCAACCTCTCGCTTTTCTTTTCACTCCACATTACAATTCTGCTTTCTTAAAATCCTATTCAGCTATATTAAAAAAAAAAAAAAAAAAAAAAAAAAAAAAAAAAAACTTGAACTCTAGGTTTTCAAAGCGCATCAGTAATTTTTTTCCCAACTGAACCAAGGTGACTCCTACAAAGAATTTACCATTCTGGATCATAATGATGGTTCAAGAGCTGCGGGATGGGTAGCATTCCTCAGGCTGTATTTATAAATTCACTAATAGAAATCAATATAAAGGATGAGCTCAACAGTGAAAGATACAGCTGTCGCAGAAACCAGGTACCCAGGACAGGCGAATGCTCCCAATCAGCTCTCCTCTCCAAAGAGCCTGAAACTGAGCACATCATGCACTGACTCAGGCTGTGCCGCCCCGTGATCGCACGGTGGTCAGCACTGTTATTCACCCTGTTATTTCTTTTTAACAGAATTTGTGCAAAGTAAAATGGGGAGTTTAATCAATAGTTAATGATTCTGAAAGCAGACATTTCATGAACTCCTCTTAAGCTCTTCTTCTGAGAAAACTAGCAAATTGCTTGTAATCATAGAAAGTGGCGTTCTCCACAGCCAATGCCTTTTGTTCATTACTGGAGCCTCCCAGACAGGAGTGAAACATATTGATCATTGGATGTTCTAAAACAACAATTGGATAAATGAGAAGACATCTGAGATGTGACCACTGTGTGGAATGTGGAGGTTGCATCTGAGTCTGAGCTTTATGCCATGCATGTGCTGCTTTCGTGTTGTCTATTTGTATTCCTTCTGTGACTCAGAATAACCCACCAACATAACAAAATGAATAGGCATTTCTAACCCAAGGGAAATCTCCTAGACTCCACAGCTATGCAGTATGGTTGTGTAAACATTAAGAGAAATTCGGATTCACCACTTCATCTTAGGGAGTAATTTCTCATAGAAGTCTGACCTCCTGCCACCCTTGATGGATACAGAAATCTCCAGGAAATTGGCCACATATTTGAGAGGACAAGAACATGGGATGAGGGACACCCCAACTCTGACCCAGGTACACTTTTTCTTTTCCTGGAAGGGTCCCAGCTTCCCAAGCATACAAGTGTGAAGGGGATGAAAGATTGATTGCAAAGACCCCCGTGCCTGACACTAGTGTTATGTTGACCCAGGGAAGTGGAGGAGGAAATGTCCTGGCTGGGGGTGACAAAGAAGGGCATAGCACTTGAGCCATGACTCCTTCCAGTCAAAATAGTCCTTGGCAGATGACCCTAAAAACCAAATTAGCAGGTCTTAATTTTGAGTCATGTCTCCAAGAGTGGTGGCTGTGGTTAACACTAGCTGGGCACCCTCTCTTCACCATATTTTTTTTAAAACATCTGGGACATAACCAGAGAATAAGGAAGATGCTGGGTTGTGGTATGATGTGACCAGGCCTACGTGGGGACCAGGTACTGGCTCTGAAATCTCCATGTGCCCATTTAGAACTGGAGACTGATCCCAGGCTGATTATAAAAGAAGGGCACTAGGGAAGTGCTTGCTACCTGCCTGTTCATAGGAGGGTCTGTAGAAATCCAGATTGACCAGGGTCTCAGGTTCAGAGACCCACGGAAACCAGGCAGGTCATGCAAATTAGTGAAATGGGCTGGGACAGAATCTTCCTTGGCCACCTGGAGAATAGCACCTTGACTCAAGGGCAGCCACTTCTCAACTCTAGCATCAGAATGTTGTTAGACAGGAATGCACATCCTGTGTTGCCAGACAACCCACACTTTCAAGAGATACAGAAAATCCACTTTGTTTTATGTTTTCAAGTAACTCAACAATTTTATAACACTGTACAGGCCAGATCAGAACCTTAGACTGTCAGTAGGCAAACCTGGCCCAAAGAACATTAAATTCATGTTCTTTATCATTGCCAGGCATCTTTCCAGTATCTGTTTGGACCAATAAATTATTTCTCCAGTAAAATTAAGTAAATAATTCTGCCTCTCTGGAGCTTGGTGTCTCCAGTGTAGAACATATTCAATCCCTGACTACAATTCCAGATGTTTCTTTGGAGATTCATTCAGTTATTCAAAGTGTCCTAAACACTAGAGAGACAAAGCTGATAGTCAAGATCTTTGCTCATATTCTACAGAAACAGTGAGGAGAGAGGGATAAAATATATATCCATATGTACATATGTATATAAACACACTTACACATATATGCACACATACACATGCACATTGCACACACATGTGCATTCACAATGTGGATGGATTGGGGTATACATCGTAGGTAAAGCCAACAGGATTTGCACATGGTTTGGATATGGAGAATAAAACAAATTGTAAAAAAGTAAAGGTGGTGCTTAGAGCTGTGGCTTTGAAACAGGTGAATGAGGGCTAAGGAATTGGGGCTAAGGAAGTCTGAGGAAGAATCAAGAGTTCTGAATTGAACTTGTCCAGTCTTAGTTGGGTATTAGACATCCAACTGGCAATATCAAGTAGGGCTCTGAAGACCATACTCAAAAAAATAGAAACAAGTTTGATGGCTTCCTCAAGACTACATAAGAAGTCAGTGGAAGTAGATTAAAAAATCTATGAAGATGCTTGTAACGTTAGTTGACAATCACCAAAGCTAGTAGCAAAATTGACCTGGGGTCAGAGTTTATGTTCTATATCACCAGTATCTCAATCGTGTTATACTAGTAGTTCCAGATGATTTTTTTTTCTGATTGTATGATAAAGTTGTTGGAAATATGCCTCTTTTAACTTTTATGGATCTGTCTAGACATACTACTAAAGAAAGTGTTTCTATTCTTCTCTAGAAATAGGCCTGAAGTTTGCTCTTCCTGCTTCTTCATTATACACCAAACCCAAGTCCCAGAGAGTGGCTTTGATACCAGGAGCGTAGAACAGGAGCGTGGAGCGGAATGGCCTCTCCAGCCTGCATGCGTGCAGACACACACCCTCCTAAGTACATTCTAGGTGAATGCTCACATCTGTGAGTGTCAAGAACTATGCAGTGATCTTTATTAATTAAAATTATTACTACACTATGAAAAATGGCTCATTACCTCTGGCATTGTAACCATGCCTACCTACCAGGTTTTTTTTTTTTTCCTCCTAATAGAGCTCAAGGGTTTACAGGAACAGTAGTACTCCTTGCAGTAGCTGTGATTTTTGACAGGGTGCACACTTGCCACCTCCTCCTAATTAACCGAGCCCTTTTGCCCCCTACGCTACCTTGTCAGTGTCTAGTGGTCCCTCAGCACTCCTCCCAAAGGACACTGTGGGATGTCAAGTTACCATGAGGAGTAGAGCCTCAAACCCAAACAAAGGCAGATTGGACTTCCAGAATAAATCAAACCCCACTTAGAGTAGAAGTTGTTCTTATGTCAAATGGGTGGTGAATACTGGGGAACATTTAGACCAGTTGTCACTGACTACAGAAAAAATAAGAATAGAAAAGGACCTAGATACTTCTTCCACTTTACAAAACTATCCCCCTTCTTCCCCAGAGAATGGGCCTTGCCTTCATAGAAAGGGGCAAAAGGAGTGCCTTGGTCTCTGCTGTGCTGAAGAACTGGTTCAAATTACTGCTCAAAGTCAGAGAGAAAATAACTTGCTTTATTAAACCTTCCTAGCCAAAAATCAGCCTATTCAGATTAATATGCCTCTAGGTATTGCTTTCCAAATGTTAGGAGCAATGACCTGGAAAAATGAAAAGCTTTATTTAAGAATGTTGATGTCTGCATCTATATGGCTGGATCTTTAGCTGTCAGAAGAAAGAAACAACTATTGGTTGGAGTTAAATAATCTTTCACCGTCCAGATATGAAACGTGCTATTGCCTCAGTGAACGCTTCTAGAGAGTAGAGCTGTAAAGTATGAATGTCTGTTTAGGATGTAGAGTCACAAGGGGATGTTACTGCCATCCTAACATTGGAAGAAGCCAAATAGGCTATAAAATTATAGTTTTTAAGCTCATTAGAGAGCCAAGGATGTCAATAAACCTAAATGAGTTAAATTCCAGAAAGCAATGAGCCCTTTCTTGGAGAGTACAGACTTACAGCTGCTGTCGTCCCTAGTGGTGTGGTGAAAGAAGGAACACAAACCAAAGAATTTTATAAGCCTCCCATGGCCATGTGTGAGCTGGTAAAGACGAGAGGTCCATGGGATCCCTTTCAGAGAATAACTCGGTATCCAGCCCCCAAACATTTCCCACAGACCTAGAACAAGTGTATGGGAGTAGTGTATTAAAGATTGGGGCAGGCCAGAGACCTGAAAGATATCTCCCCTCCCAAGGCACATGAGGCCCTCTCTAAGTGCAACACACTGAGACGCATTGCAGGTGGGGAGGGGCAGGGAAAGAGAACTGCAAAAATCTCCCTGAGACACCATAGACTTGCATCCAGTGATCAGAACAGCCGACTAAAGCTGGGACCGAGTAGGCAGAGGAAACCCCTTTAAAACTGTGAAGCTCTTCACATAGTGTCCTGCAGTAGCCATCCAAAGGCCAGGAGTGGGGTAGCCTGATGGGAAGAGACTTCCCAAGGAATAGAAAGCCAGGGGTGGGACTGGAAAAAAAATACAAAATTTTTCAGTGACCCAAAAAGTTGGCGATAGGGTTGGAAAATGGAGTTTCTCATTGTTCAGAAACCTATAAGGCTTAAAGAGATCTCCAAATCTCACCTCCTCTCAGATTGCAAGCCCTGCTGGAGGGAGAGTCTTGATGATACCTTCAAAACATTTAAAGCTAGAAGGAAATTAAATCTGACCAAAGCTGCAACAAAGCCAAGGCTCAGCTCAACTCCATATGGGATTAACTCACCCTTCCGCAGTCCCAGCCTTGCAGGAAAAGGGGTGTGCTCTTTTTGGGGATAAAGTTTATTCTACACCTTCAGTCCTTTTATATGTATGTTTTTGCACACAGTAAAAAACTTAGGAGATACACAAAGAACCGAGAAAGTTTTACCATGGTCCAAGAAAAGAGCCATGAAATCAGATCCAGAGAAGGTCCAGTTGTTGGATTTATCATACAGGGAGTTTGGGGGAAAAAATGTATGATAAATACATTAAAGGATCCAAAAAATTGTGGACAATATGTGAAAAGATGGGGAATTTGTCTAGGGAGAGGGAAACTATAAAAGAGAACAAAATAGAAATGCTAAAAACAAATAAAAGAACTACAATCTCAGAAATAGATAGTTCATTTGACAGGGTTACAAACTAGATATAGTACAAAAGAGGATTTGTCAACTAGAAAACAGGAAATTATCCAAATTAAAATAGGTAGAGAGAAGACTGCAGAGAAAAAAAGAAACAGAGCATCTGAGATCTCTGAAATAATATCAGATGGTCTAACATATATGAAGTCAAAGTCCCAGGAAAAAAGATAGAATGAAGCAAAGGGAATATTTGAAAAGATGACAGCCAAGAATTCTACATCAACTGAAAGATTCAGAAAATCTCAATAAACGACAAGCAGGGGCAAAACAAACCAAACCATCATCTTGGCAACCAGTCAAACTGCTGAAAATCAAAGGAAAGACATAGATCCACGACATTCATACATGACAAAGAATGGCTGACTTCGTTAGAAACAGTGGAGTCCAGAAAACAATTTAATGAGATGTTTAATTAGACAAAAGCATTATAAGTCATGCTGGCCTTGAATTCTTTATCCAGCAAAATATCCTTGCAAAAATGAGGGTGGGATACAGACTTTTCCAGATAAACAAAATCTGAATTTTTTGCCAACAGATTTGCACTATAAGAAATATTAAAAGAAGTATTTCAGGCTGCAGGAAATGATACCAGATGGAAACTTGGATCTTTACAGAAGAATAAAGAAGATCATAAAAGCTTTAAAATGTGTGTAAATACTTTTCAGAGTTTTTTTCCTTTATTCTTTCTCTCTCATTTCTTTCTTTTTCTTTCTTCCCCTCTAAATCTATCCATAGACACACACACACACACACACACACTTTTAACAACCTACAGACCATATAAAGCAAAAATTTTAAAAATGTATTATGGAATTAATACCATATGTAGAAGTAAAAAACATAGAAGAACAAAGTGTAGGAAGGGTAAATGGAATTTTACTGTATAAATTTCTTACATTATTCATGAAATAATATTACAGGCTGAGTACCACTTATTTGAAATGTCTAGGACCAGAAATGTTTTGGATTTCAGATTTTTTTGGATTTGGGAATATTTGCATATAAATAATAAGATATCTTGGGGATGGGACCCAAGTCTAAACACAAAAGTTCATTTACATTTCATATACACCTTATGTACATACCCTGAAGGTGATTTTTATGCAATATTTTTAATAACCTTGTGCAGGAAACAAACTTTTGACTCATTTTGACTGAGACCTGTCAAATGAGAGCAGGTGTGTAATTTTCTATTTGTGGCATCAAGTCAGCACTCAAAAAATGTTGGATTTTGAAGCATTTCAGATTTCAGATTTTTGGATCAGGGGTGCTCAACATGTAGTCCATAATTTCCAGAAGAGTTGGGGTTGAGCCATCCATAATTTTTAACGGGCAAAAATGGCACCATGGGAGTGGGAGACTGTGGTAAGTTAAAGATGAATAGTGTCATCACTACAACAATCATTTTAAAAATAGTACAAATAGGTATAACAAAAAGATCAATAGTAAAGGTACAATGGAATACTAAAAATGCTTCATTCACGCAAAACAAGGAAGAATGAATAAAGGAGAAAAAGATAAAAAGATACAAAAGACAGAATGGAAAATACAAAATAATAACATGATGTTAGACTTAAAAGCAATCATATCAGTAAGTATGCATATTAACTAAATGTTCTTTTTAAGAAGCAGAAATTATCAGACTGAATGAAAAGCAAGAAAAGCCTTTATGTTGCTTTCAGTAAACATAATTTTAATATAAAGACACAGATAGATTGAAAGTAAAATATGGAAAACAATATACTATACAAACATTAAGTATAAGAAAAATAGTGTAGCTATATTAAAGTAGACTTCAAGACACAGAATTCTAGTAGAGATATAAAAGGACATTTTATTATTATAAAAGTTTCAGTCCATTAAAGATATATAAACATCTTAAATGTGTATGCACCTTAAAACAGAGCTTCAAAATATCTGAAGCAAAAAGTGGCTGTGCTAAAAAGATAAATAGACAAATCCACAAAGATAAATGGAGACTTTAAATTCTCTTCTCTCAATAGTTGATAGAACAAGTTGAAGAAAAAAAAAGGAGAGAGCAGATAGAAGATCTGCACAACTCAATCAACCAGCTTCATGGAACTGACATTTATAAAACAGACCAAAAACTGTAAAATATACATTTTTTTGCAAGTGCACAGAAAATGTCCCAAAAAACCATATGCTAGGCCATTAGAAAGTCTCAATAAATTTCAAAAGACCAATAACATAAAGAGTATATTCTCTGGTGACAACGGCATTAAATTAGATACTAATCTCAATAGCACACCAAGAAAATCACCCCAATATTTGGAAATTAAACATACTGCTAAATAGTCCAAAGATCAAAGAATAAATTACAAAAGAAAGCACAGAATATTTTCAGTGGAATGTTAACAATTTCAAATTGTGTAGGCTATACCTAAAGCAGTGCTAACAGGGAAATGTATAGCTTCAGAAGCCTATCTCAGGAAACAGGAAACACATTAGAGCAATCATCTAAACCACGACCTTAAGAGGCTAAGAAATGAAGAGTAAATTAAACCCAGAGTAGGTACAAGAAATAAGACAATAAATAGATGACAAATAAATGCAACGGAAAGAGACAACCAATAAAGACAATCAGCAAAGTCAGAGGTTGTTTTTTGGAAAAAGTTAATAATGTTGATAATCTCCTCAGTTTGAATGATCAAGAAGTAAAGGAGAAAGTAAACCACAAATTGCCAGTATCAGAAGTACAATAAGGAAGATCTTCAGAGATCCTATAGACAAATATAATAAAAGGAGCAACTTTATGCCTCCAAATTTGACTTAGATAAAAGAGAAACATTTGTTGAAAGCTCAACCTAAAATGTACACAAGAAGAATTTTAAAATATAAACAGCCCCGTATCTATGAAACAAATTGATTTGTCATCAAAACTATGAATTTTGTTAAACACTAAGGAGGAAGGAGTGCCAAACTTAACACAAACACTTCCAGAAAATAAAGAAGAAGGAACAAATCCCACCTTGCTTGATAAAGCCAGCATGACCCTGATATCAAAATCATTTGGTATCAGTTTTTAACCAGGCGTATTTTTCCAACTGCTTTACCTAAACTAACCCTATCTAATCCTCACAATAGCCCTAAACTGTAAATATTCATTATTATCCCTATTTTACAAATGAGAAAACAGAGGCACAGAGAGGTTAGAAACTTGCCCAAGGCCACACAGTTATTAAGCAGTGGGACCACGAGACTAATACAAGCCAACTGTTTCTCAAGTCTACTTCCTAAGCACCACACTATACTTCCTCCTTAATACTAAATTAGATCAAAACAGTGAGCGTGTGCAGCACAACGCTTGGGACAGCATGAACTTATTAAATAAACTGAACGTCCAGTGGGAAGCTAGAAATACAAAACTGAAGCTCAAACTGGACCAACACATCGCAGCCGAGGACCTGTAAGCATTCCACTTCAGTTCTTGAATATGAATTCATTTGACCCAGCGCATAGCTGTGTGCACACCCATGCACACTCATGTGTGCAAGAGTCCCAGTGAGGCAGTTTACAATTTGAAAGTGCAAGCCTACCACACTGGATAAGGAAACGGAAGACAACTGTCCTTATCTCTCTCTCCAGCCCTCCCTGATCCCTGCAGTCCTTGCCAATGCACTAAGAGACTTGTCACACGATAATGAAAAACTGAAATGTGATGGATTCAATTACAATTTATATTTTCACTTAACAATCAATTACCTTCCCCTTGTTGGTGGAACATCATTAAGCGATGATACCAGCTCTGGAGAGAAATCCTCTTGGGGAGGGGAGCAGCTAGCCCAGAGAGAGTTGAACAGGGTTTTGAGTCTCCCAGGAATCTGGGCAGAGGGAAGAGAGGCACGGAGCAGGAATAGTGGAAGGATTGACTTCCTGGGGCTGCCCAGGGGTGAGAAAAGAGGTGTTCTCTGCCTGTCTGTGCCAAGAAAGAAGGGGTTAGGGAATCCCCACCTTTCTCTGGACCCTCTTCGTCTACCTGTGGGGGCGTCCCTGGGATCTAAAATAAACAAGAAAGTTGAAGCTCCCCCTTGGATGTCACCCAGAGAAGCTGATCCTGAAGTTAAATATTTGCAAAGCGGGGGTGAGCAAGATAGACTTGCTGAGGACCCAGCAAGGGTGCACTAGGGCACAGGCAGCCTCCACTAAGATCCTTCAAGAGGTTGGGGGAGGCTCCATGTTTGCTTGCTCCCCAGGTGGGCTTTGTAGAACTTAAGAGGCTCTCTGGGGCTCGGCCTCTTGGAAACAGCAGCGATAAGCCCTGCACAGATGGAGCAGCCTCCAGACAGCAGCCGCCTGGGAGGATGAAAATTGAAATCCCAGCTTTCCTTCAGAAAGATGGAAAGAAGGGAGGGAATCCCAATGCAGAGTTCTCCATCTCTCTCACTTTCTCTCTCTCTCTCTTCTCCACAAGGGGGCGCACAGCCTGAAGCAGCTTCCCTTCTAACAACCCCCCAATTTTGCATTTTCAAGCATGCAAATCTGACTACGTCATTTATGCTTAAAACCTCTCATTGCTATAAAATAAAGCCTAAATTATTTAGCATGGCATTTGAAGGGGATCAGAATATGCCACCCTGAAATATGTCCCTTTGGCATGTGGATTATTTTGAGCTGAAGGCAATTGAGAATCAACAGATGGAGGAAGAGTTCTCTGACCCCCGAATCTGTCTAAAAGCAGGGACAAATTTCCCTTTGTGAAGGTGACTCTCACCCTGCACTAGGAAGGGAGGGCAGAGTGACTCTTATCACCAGAGATGGGAGTCAATACCAAGATGAGTTGGCATAACAGACCTTACTAAAATAACCATTGTCTTCCACTAGTTCCCCAATATATTTCCTAGTCACTTCCCCATAATTTATCATCCCTTCAAAGCCCGAATTCTCTTTCCTTTGTTAAAATGGTATATAAACCCCTAAGTCTAACTGCCTCTTTGAGTTTCGCTGATTTTTTTCTGTGGACTCATGTTCACATAAATATTAATAAAAATTTTGTGCCTTTTCTCCTGTTATCTGTCTTTTGTCAGGCATGTAGGTTCAGTAACTGAACCTAAGAGGGTAGAAGAAAAGTTTTTCCTCCCTGACACATTCAAAGTCTTCTCAATCTTGCTTCTGTCTCACACACCTTCCAGGCCTCCTAAACTTGACCCCATTCTTTAACCACTAAGTGCCTCCTGGAATTTACAAACATTTTTTGCATTTTCACATCTTCTCCACTTGACCGCACTCTATTAAGCTTTTGAAGTTCCTTTGAATATTTCCCTCTCCTGAAGCCTTCCTTCAATGTCCCCAGGAGATTGATGCCTGCTTTACCTTGTTCTGAAGGCACTTTTATAATCCCACACCATTATAATAATTATGGCATAATGAATGTTCGTTCCTTTATTTATATCCTCTCTTCACAATGTTCACATTCTTTGTTTCATTAATTCCAAGTTGAAAAGCACACAGTAAAGAGAGAAAGCCTGAGAGCAGTAAGTTCTACTTCTATCCAGCTGTTTGCTCAGACAAATTGCTTAACAATTCAGCACCTCAGTTTCATCATCTGTAAAATGGGATTGCTATAACCTATCTCTTCAGTTGTAGCTACATGAAATGAGTTGCTGCATGAAAACCCCTTGGCTCAAATCCTGACTCACAGTAAGTGTTCAATAAATGCTGGTTATTAGCTATTTGATTTTTTGTTTACTTGGAATTTCATGAGCGTGTCCATTAAATCTTAATGATCTTTGTACCCAACGTCAAAAAGGCTATCACAGAGCTTGGTGTTTCATAAGCTCTCGAAAGAAAAACAAGATGTGTACCGAATGAATGAGCAGTCACTATGTACAGATATTGTGAAAACAGTCACTGCTGGTATTCAGAACTGCAAATACATAGTTTTGTGTAATATTTCAACTGCTGATCCTGTCAAATGTGCTTACGTGGAAGTATTGTGAAACATTTTAAGGGCTGATACTGTCAAATGCATTGAGGAACCACTGTGAATGTTGACATTGTCAAATGGGGTGTCAAACATGGTTATATGAAAACAATGTAACAGCAGCGTATGTGACATATAGATTTATATTAAAGATATTGTACCAAAGAGCAAGGTTAAAGCATAGCACAGTCCCAGTAAAATTCAAAGTCCTACCTTTCAGCTCATTGTGTTAAAACTACAATGGATCCAGAAATTAGGCACATATTAATTATTTTCAAAACATTATGTTGTTCTTGTGGTTGGGGGGGGAGGCACGTAAAATTTAGAATTAAGGGCTCCTAACTTAAGATTGCCCTAGGAGGAGTGGCAAAGGTGTCCCTCTTGCCCCACAGTGAGGCTTCTGCACACCTTTTAGTCTAACTTCATGGAGCTGGGGACTGCTGTGTGAGCAATGAGGTAGGGTGGTCTAGGTGTTCAGATGGCAATCTGGGTCTCTGGTCATAAAGGCTGGAGTCTGCCATTACTCAGGCAAGCCCCAGTAAGGGTCAGCAATGAGATGCTCTCTGTCCCTTTGCATAGGGGTTCTGATCTGGCAGTGACAGTGGGGATCCTCTAGGATGGCCTGGATGACATAACCCAACCCATGCCTCACCCAGAGCTCCACTGTGATGACATCCTAATTTCCAAGACCCTGGAATTGGCTTTCACACGTTATATTATTTTCTCTTTCTCAAAGGTAGCCATTGTTTTCCAGCTCAAAATCAAAATAAACACAAAAGACAAAAAAAAATCCTTTCCTTTACATTGCATTAACTTGTCTATTGTATCCAGGAGAGAAAAATTATGGTTCTTTTTTACATCTACTGGTCACATCATATCTGAAATCAAGTGTTCAGGTTAGGAAAGGGAATCATAGAATTACCTAAAATTTTTGGCATCAAGAATCACAAAATGTTTTTCTCCTCTGTTTATATCCTCTGTTTACAATGTTCACATTCTCTGTTTCATTAATTCCAAGCCTGGGAATTAACCCGTAGAAAATTATCCCTGATGTGGCAAAGATTCCAGAGATTTTCATCAGAGCATCATTTAAAATAGGAAAAACGTTATATAAGCTGGACATAATAAATATGTAATAATGATAGATTAGGTAAATTGAGAACAAATGGTGTAATGTGATATGGTGTGCGTCTATTGAAATGGAGTTTGAAAAAAGGTCTTGATATCAGAAAATATTTATAACATCAGAGAAAAACAGCAACACAAATTTTACACAAAATGAGTATGTTCGTGTATTTGTATCAGTGATATAAAACAATACAATGGTCCTACCTGGGTACTGTCATTATGTAAGATTTTTTAGGGTCTCTTCCATGTGTTTTCTATATTTTCTAAGTTTTCTACAACATTTCTTCTTGATGCTAATATGCATCCTTGCAGACTATTTGTGCATTTAATGCAGTGTTTCTTTTTTTTCTCCCTCTCACCCCAATTACTGTTAAATTGATGGTGTGTCTTAAGTCAATTGTATTTGTTTGCTAGGGCAACTGACATAATGAAGTACAACAAACTGGGTGGCTTAGACAACAGAAGTTAGAAGCCGGAGGTTGAAGATCAAGATGTGGGCAGGGCTGTTTTCTCCTGAGGCCTCTCTCCTTGCTTGTCCTCACAAGTCCTTTCCTCTGTGCATGCACATCCCTGGGGTCCCCTCGTCTTATAAAGACACCAGTCCTATTGGATCAGGGCCCCACCCTGATGACCTTGCCTCACCTTAATTACCTCTTTAAAGTCCTGTCTCCAAATACTGTCATGTTAGGGGTTAGGGTTTCAATGTATGAATTGGGGGGAAACACAATTCTGTCCGTAATATCAATGGGGTCTTAGAATCAAGAAAATGCAGCATAACTTTCACAATCCATGAAAAGAATGAGCATTTATTGAAGGAAACAAGAGCCATCACCACGCCTCCTCCTATGGCTGGGATGCTATGGCAGTCAGCTGACCCATCGCTGACCATTGCAGAGTCCAGGACAAACCATCAGGTGAGAGGTTAGACCTGGAATCCCTCTTCATCAACACGCCTCCCCCAATTCCCCAGTTCAAAAATGGCTCCACCATATTCTTCTCTATCGTTTCAACAATAACGTGATCCCCCTTCTGTATGCCCACTCTGACAACTCTCACACGACACTCAGGGCCGATATTTTGACCCAGACCATAATGAGTCTTATATTATAATTTAACCCTTACGGAATAAATCTTTTATCTCCAACCACAGAGTGAAATTCTCCTAGCTCACTCCTATTCCTCCTCAACCAGCTGCTATTTTGGAAAACATTCTTTAATTATTCCCCATCCTGAAGCAAGTCTAAGATAGGTGCTCCCTTCTGAGCTCTCAGGGCCACTGTCAGTTTTGCTTCACCCATTTATTGGTCTATCAACCTTACACATATGCATGTGCACTCACACACAAACACACACACACACAAACACACACACACAAACACAATATACACACAAACACACACAGACACAAACACACACACACAAACACACACACACAAACACAACATACACACAAACACAGACAAACACACACACACAAACACACACATACACACAAACACAACATACACACAAACACACACACACAAACACACACACAAACACACACACAAACACAACATACAAACACAAACACACACACACAAACACAACATACACACAAACACAAACACACAAACACACACACACACACACGGTGTGAGCTCCTCAGTGCTAGAAATTCTGTCTTAGCCAACTGTCCACATTCATGGCCCAATACAGTCACGTATTAGCTATGTGTCCTTGGGCAAATTACTTAATACTTAACCTCTATGCCTCAGTTTCCTTCTCTGTAAATAGGGATGATGCCATTATCTACCTCGTAGGATTGCTGTGAAAGCTAAACGAGATGGTGAAATTGAGAAAGTGCTGGCTCAGAGTCAGTGCTCAAATGTGACTGATGATGATTATGACGACAATGGTGCCATACTCTGAGCATGTCAAGAGGAGGGAAGGAAGCTTCATCTGAGCAAGGGGAAAGTAGTCTCCACCTTTTCCCTCTTCTGTGAGACCTACCACAGATCTGTGTACTGGAGTCATTTCTCAAACCAGGACTTAAAGTAAATGAATGATTTGGGCTTCATCTTACCTGGGGACCTTGGGTTTTGTAATGACAAACAGCAGGTGGGCTCTTAAGAGTTTAACCATCATTGATTGTGGCTGGGAAGAAGAGATGGATAAATGTCCTGTATTCAATATGGAAAGTCAACACTGTTCAACCCCAAATACTTGAACCTAAATAGTTCCTTCACAGCTCCTTGTCCTGATCAATGAGTGGCCTGCAAATATCCCAGCATTTCCTTCTTCTGTGCAGTGCACTCTGCCTGTGACAGGCCATCATGGGGCACCCCATCCACACCTCCAGGAATATCCCTGTCCCACTGTGAACGCCGTAAGTCGGGACCACGGCAGAAAAGCGCTACAAGGGTCAACGAAAGCCACCTAATCTGACTCTGAAACATCACCTCTGAGAATGTATCTTCATAACATTATTGAAAAGGAGGAAGCTCCATGTGTATGAAGATATTCACCACACTAGCATCTATAATTTTGAAGATACTAATAACCATACAAGAAAAGTTCAGTGTGCCCTAGCATTTACAATAGAATATTCTACCATTATGAAGAGAAGTAACTGGAAGTCTGCACTTACAGCTAAAGGAGAGACCAAAATTGTGTCTGCACTATGATTACAGTCATGTGAAAATATGTATTCTGTGGCCAAAACACAAAGTATGCCAAGTATCCAGTTATTCTCTTAGGAAGGAAGGGAATTGGGGGATTAGGAAAGTGTCTTCCAACATTAAAAAAGAAAAAATCCTCAGTGTTTTTATAGGAAGGAGTATAGGCTAAGATCTACTTCACAGGTGGTTCCCAGATGTTTGGGAATGCTTCCTAACACAAGGGGGTTTTGCACGTGGGCAGCCCCTGTTGACTGTCACTGTTCTAAATATTCCATAAAATCCCCAGGCAAAAAGTGCTTCCCAGGAACATTATCCTGCATGGATGGGACTCCTGTCATTGGTGGCTGCCTATTCCTTCTTCAGAGTTTTCCCAATTTTAAGAGACTTCTGAAATCTTTCCTTTTGTTTCCTCCTTGTTTTGTATACTTGAATTATTAATTTAACTAATCAACTGGTGCTCACTAAATGTTTCTGAAGAGCTTCTCCACTTGTTTCTATGACTTGGGTGACATTCAATTCTGCACTCCAATGGACACACTCCAAGGGTTCAATGCCACTCCCTCAAACAAGGCACCCCACGAATCACTGCCAGGGCCTGCCAGTTCACTCACAGTCCAGGTCAGAGCAGGGCTGGCTGGAGCCCTAATATTTTTCAGATTTTGGTTCCATTTCAATAATGTTCTAAAATGTGTCTCAACACAGTGGGATATAAACATGAGTTTTTTTCGATTCACTGCCTTTAATCAAGCCTCATCTAATCACCCATTCCCATCTCTTAATAGCACCTTCATCAAATTTCATAACTTTCTGATCACTTTGGGTTATTAAAAGTCAGATATGTTTAAAACTTCAATCTCAAACTTAATTTAAATCGTTCTGCTCCCTTCCCCCAACCCCCAGCAAGGCTGACAGGGACCCTGACTGCTTGGAGTGAGGAACTCTGGACCCTTAGGCCTCTCAACCCTTAAAGGCTTGGCTTCTCTGGAGCTCAGGGTGGAAAGAGCATGGAACAGGAATGCAAGCTTGGTAGTTAACTCTGCTGTTGGCCTCAACTCTCACCAACAAGCCTCCATCCGGGGCTGCTCCCCTCCCCTGCACACTCCTCTGAGATGGGAGGTCCAACTCCAGCTCTTACCTCTCCGTGTACCTTGGCACACTGCAGTCTCCTGCTGCTGGGGCCCACCACCCACACAGCAGCAGGTGCCAAAACAGGCAGGGCAACTCAAGCCCACCCACCTTCCACATTGTCCACTGGACCCATGGAAAATTCATGTCCTCTTAAAACACTGAAATGCAGACACGCAGGCTTGTCTCTGGTCACACTGTGTTCACGCTGCCCTCTCTCCCTCCTTGTCTCTCCTCCTGCTCTTCCAAGCATAGGGCCAGATCAGAAGGTTGGTGATCTAAGCAGACGTTTAATTCACAAATTAGAATATGAGCTTCTTCTTCTAGTTATAGGCACCCTCAATTCTCTTGAGCCCCTCCCTTGACTTGGGGAATTAGAGGTGAATGGAAGGGCGAGAGGTTTGCCTCTCATAATGAACCCCATGCTGCAATGACTTTAGCTTACACTTTCTCTCCCCTCCAATCCCTTCTCATATACACACTGGGAGGGACCTGGGGCAGAGCTGGTGGCAGCAAGGCTAGTGCTGTATGCGAGTGCTGGCAGTTCCCTCCAGCTTGCACAGGACTTACCATCTCTTTGTCCTCAATTTCAGCCCCAGTGACCAATTCTAGATCAACAGGAAAATCCACTCAAGTTTTTATTTCAGATGTGAGTTTAGATGTGGGTCCATATCAGCCTTCTCTTTCTTTTGAGCTTAGTTCACATTTGAGAAAAGGATAAAATCAGGTTTCACCTGGCTCTGGCTTTAGTTAAAGAGTGAAGATCAAAGACCGACTAAACATGAAACAGGGCTGAGCTGAGCCAGCTGGAGGGCCCAGCTGCAGAGGGTGGGTACTGCATGGGTCGGGTGGGGAGTGAGGGAAGCACCAGAAGAGCTCCTGTCCGTGGACCCACCCGGCATGTGGACACACCAAGAGATCTCCAGGGAGCCATAGCGCCTCCATCCTCAGACACTCCCCACTGACTCACAGCTGATGTCTTTCCATTGTTCACCTCTTTGGACTTCAACATCTGTAAAATGGGAAGAAACATGTCTTCCTCAACCGGATGCCAGAGAACTTAACGAGACGATACTATATGTGAAGCACATAGGACAATGTTTAGCACATAAGGAGCACAATGAATTCCCAACCCACCAAACTCCCTAGAGAGACCACATGAGTAGGAAGTACATGGTCCTTCTGCCTTCATAGCTCTCAATGGTCCAGCCACTTCTCAGCAGTGCCACTGCACCAGGCCCACTGCAACAGTCTCCGCTCTGAATCCCTGCTTCCACCCTTGCTCCCACCATCTATTAGAATGATCCTGATGAAAGGTAAGGTGGATCATGACACTCCTCTGCACAAAACCCTGAAATGGCTACTGTCCTCATCAGAGTGGATGACAAAGTCCTCACAATCACCAGCAAGGCCCACATCTTCTGTCCCCAATTGTTGTCTTGTCCTATGACTCCTCCTTCCCTTTCTCCATCACACAGGCCACTTCAGATAAAGCAGACCTGTTTCTGCCTTAGGGCCTTTGACTGAATCATCCCTCTGCCTGCAATGTTTTTTCTCCCAGTATTTACCCTGCCATCCCTTACTTCTTTCCAGTCTCGCCTCAGATGTCACCTTCTGGTGCAGCCGTCCCTGACCACCCTATTTATAATTGCATCATTCCCCCACCTGCCCCATGACATGCCCCACCCCATTCCCATTTTATCTTCTGCATATCATTTTTTCTTCTAACACACCACATAACTTGCTAATTTATTTTCTTGCCTGTCTTCCCCTTCCCACACACATACATTAGCATGTAAGTTCCATGAGGGCAAGAATTTGTATCAGTGTGATTCACTGCTGTGTCCCTAGCATCTAGGGCAGTACCTGGCACATAGTAGGTGCTCAGTAAACATTTGTTGAATGAAGGGCTGAATGAACACAAGGACATGAGTACTTGTGAGCCGGAAGTGTAAGACCCAGTTAACTGCTCAAAAAGCCAGATCCAGTCTCTCTGCAGCTTAGGATGATGCTGAGAATGAATCAGAGGAAGGATGAAGTCAGTTTGGAAGAGAATCTCTGAGCTGAGTAATTGTTCTCCACCCCTGCCTCATCTCAATTTAGACCCAACACTGAAAATTCATTCTGAAAACATCCTCTTTAGTCGCTCAATCATTTATTTCCTCTGAACGCCAACTTGTCTGGGGACCAAAGTCCACAGCTCTTGCAAGTAGAAGCTGTGCCAAGCAGAAGAAAAAGCTAAATGATTCTTTAACCATTTTGACTTCAAAGAACAAACGTGCTGCCTCAAAGCCTCCCAGCTACTCCCCGGGCTCTCTCAGGTACCTGCCCTCTCAGACACTTTTTGCCCAGAACATTGACTCACCCCTTGGATTGAAGGGACACAATCCTTTCATATAGGTGAGTCTCTTCTCTCATAAACTGCAAGCAAAGCAACAGTTAGGTGCAAGACTATGATTAACTGTCAAGTGCTTGCTCCATCTAAAGGCATTTAAACTAAAATAAATAAGTAAATTGCACCGTTCAAGTCAAACAAAACACTCTACACCTGCAAACTGCCAGTCTTGATTGCAAGCTTAGCCCCTACAGCAATGTGGAAATATAGCAGGCACTACATAAATACCTCCTGACTGTTGACTGACTCTCTTGGTACAAAGTACTCACCCAGGTCATGGAAAGCAGCCTAGACCAGGATTAAAAATACCTAATTCAGGAAGAGATTCTCCCATTTTGTAGACATAGTGTGTGGAATGTTTGTTTCCCGTTCCTCTTTCCCCTGGTTCCTAATCCAGAGGGTCTGTGGGGTATCTGTGAACTCACTAGTCAGCAGACAGAGCATGAGGATGTATCTGCATGTATGCAGGCAATGGTGAACACAGGAATACAGAGGAGATAACTGGGGGTAGGGAAGGAAGAGTCAGCTCTTCCCATTCTAGTGGAACCTCTATCCTAGGTTGAGTTTTTAATTAGTGTTCAAAGCCCTTCCATCAAGTTCATACAGTCCCTGCTTACCAATCACACATATGGGTACTGACCCACACACCCACACACCCCTACATGCCTCTCTGACCAGCCTTCCTTCTTTCCTTTCCTAAATCCACTTTGGCTTAATCTACTCAGTAGCCTTTAGAAATCCTCAGGACATTTGTGGTGTTAAAACAAGTGTATTTCCATTGTATTGCACCTGTATTTCTTGTAAAGAGCAATTTCATTTTGTGTCTCCATTGTATTCAATCTGACTTTTGCACTCTGAAACTTCTTCAAACAAAGCTCTACTTGTGAAGCAGGAAACACGGCTGACAGCCTCATGATCACCCAGTATTTTTTTTTTCAGAATGAGGAAATTCACACAGGGCTCAGCCTAGAGCAGGCCAGCCCAGTAGCAGCTTCATCCCAGTGAAGGGGAGAAACACAGCCTCCATCAGTTGTAAGAAGAGTTTTAAAGGCTGTAGGAGGCATTACCCCTTCTCCAACTCCTCATCTCCCCACAACACAGAGAGGAGACTCAGGAGCTGGAGAGTGAATGAGTGAATACTAAATTATTACAACAACCTCTTCAATCATCTTTTGACTCTAATCTTACCTCCATTCAAATAATTCTCCATTTCAAATCATTCAAATAATTTCCAGAGGGATCTTCCATGTCACTCTTGTCCTTAAAGCTGCTCAGTGTCCTCAGGGTAAGTCCAGTCTTCTCAGCTTGGACTTTCCTCATGTAGGTGCAAAATAATTTCTGTAGTTCATCTCTGGCACTTACTCCCTCCCCCTACCATCCATCCAGCCAGCCAGATCCACCTTCTTTCATTTGAGGCATAGACCATCTTCCCTACCACCTTTGGCCCTGTGGCCCTGTGCCTAGAACATTCTTCCTTCCCCCACTCCATCCCTTTTTTGGTCAATCTTGTCCTTGGTTGAATGAAGACAAAGGTGGAATAAGTGATGGGCTCAAGTGGACGTGTCCAGTCTGGGAGTTCAGGGGAACTATGTCTGTCCCAGGTTGGCCTTGGGGAATCACCATGTAGCCCCTGAGACTTTCAGCTCACCATTGAAAAAGGAGTGCCTGCTGGTGGGCAGAGGAGTCTTGGAGAGACCTCGATGGCCTAAGGGATGTCCCAAGAGAGTACACAGCAACGATGTGCCCAAGAGGAGCAGCACCCCAGAGCTAAGCAGCTGCCCCCATTTCTTCCCTGGCTCCCACTGTTTTCCATGCCAGAAATAGCCAGCATCATTCCTCAAGCAAAGCTTCTCTTCCTTTCTCTAAGTAGCTACACCCCACTGTGTGTGAATGAGTTGGTTCTATCAGCAGGACCACAGTACTTAGGGCGAAGATTCTAACCAGCCCCATTAGCAGCAGCTACTAGCTTGGACAGAACTCACCAAATCATTTCATCTGTGCTGGGTGTTCCACCTGCAGGTCATAGAATATTCAGAACAGTAGACTCAAAATAAAGCCCATCGGAGCAGAACACCCCAGGGTCTGGAGAGAAACAGCTCAGATCACTGGCGAAAGAAAAGCTTCACCCACACATGTGCTTTCACCATGTCCAAGGAACAGAGGCCTGAGGAAGCCCTTGGGGATCTGGAGAAGATATACCCAGATGGCCTGGGGAGTTGCTTTACATGACAGTTAGGAGATGGGAATCAGTTCAGAATAGAGAGAAATGTCTACTTCATTTCATCAGGAGTTGCAGTGCAGAAAATGGTTTGTAACAAGAAATGGAAAGAACAAAGGCATTCCTTAAATAGTTCTTCTCAGTTTAAGAGCTGATATGAACAAAGCTATTATGGGTTGAATTGCACCCCACCTCCCCAAAATTCATATGTTGAAGGCTGAACCCCCCCACCCAGTATCCCAGAAAGTGATCATATTTGGAAATAGAGTCATTGAAGATGTCACAGTTAAGATGGGCTCATTAGGGTGCACCTTAATTCAATATGACTGGTGCCCTCATAAAAAGGAGAAATTTAGACACAAAGCCACAGACAGACAGAGAACTCCATGTGAGGATGAAGGCAGCCATCTGGGTGATGCTTTTACAAGCCAAGTAATGCCAAAGATTGCCAGCAAACAACCAGGACCTAGGGAAGGCATCTGGAACAGATTCTTCTTCACAGCCCTCCAAAGGGACCAACCTTGACACTGGACTCCTGGACTACAGAATTGCAAGACAATAAATTTCTGATGTATAAGCCACCCAGCTTGTGGTAATTTGTTATGACAGCCTCAGGAAACTAATACAAAATGCAAGCAACATATCCAGAAAATATTTTATTCCTCGGTGCCCATCTCAAGCGCAGCGAAACCACCTTTGAAGCCTCTGTGCCAACGCCACTCCATTGGGTACTGAAGGCTTCCCAGACCTGCAGTGCAGATCACAGGCATTGCCTTACCCCGTACCATCTTGGCATCTCCCTGGTAGTCTCTGTGATGGAGAGACAGTGGAATAGAGTTGTCATGAGTGCAGGCTTTGGAACCAAACAGACCTGTCTTTGAATCCCTCTCTGACCACTTAGTGCCCATCTGGCCACTGTTTCTCATCAGTGAAATGGAGCAGACAACAATGCATGTGAGACAATGCATGGAAGGGGCATGTGGTGAGCACGCCCTAAATGGAAGCTAGTGTGATGTTGGCTTACTCAGCAAGGGCCAAAGAAGATGAAGTTAAATTAGGGGCCATCCCTTAAATCAGCTAAGCCCTTAAAGTTAAAGGAAAAGAAGATCCAAAAATGCAAGAAATGTGGGTTACTGCTGCAGCCCAGGGGGCTCCTCAGCAGCGTGTGCTGGCCTAGCAGAAGGTCCGCCCTGAGAGCAAGGAGAAAGTGTGAGCAGATGGCAGCCTTCAGCCACAGAGCCTGGACGGAGGAACCACGTGCGCAGGAAGAAGGAACGGGGGAGCTGGAGGTCAGAGTGGTACAGCGCATGTCTGACAAGCAGTACCACCAGGAATAGCAGCCATCACTTGAAGGTTGATGGGCCTTTCCCCTAAATGAGAGGATACAGAATCCTCACCCTGCAGGGCAGACCACAGCAGCCTGCTGCCCACCTGCCAGAGTAGAGAAAAGAAGAGAATTTAGGTCATGCCAAATCAGGAGTGAGGCTGCCTGGAAGTCACTGATAGGAAGTATGCAAGTCTTAGCAAAATCTGGGGATGTCTAGCATCAAGTTAAGAAAATCCACCTTTGAGACAATTCTATGCAGTGCTATGCTGGTAAATGTTTAAGAACTGGCTCCCGGAACATTGCCAATTATTGTGCAAATATTCTCACCATGACCAATTGGAAGCTATCAAGAACATATCAATGAGTTCGCCAAATTCCTGAGACTTTAATTGGTTCTTGTGAGCTTAGGAGCTGGCTGCAACCCATGCTGAACGCTAAGTGACAATGCTACTCCATTTGCCTTCCACACCTGCCCTCTCTATCCATGTCAGGCTAACAGCAGCATTTCCCTGTGCTCAGGGCTTGGCCTGGTTTGGTACCTGTACATGCTAACAAACAACTGCCCACTGTCCACTCCCAGGTGACTTGGTAGCTTGGGATAAGGGACAGAGCCATTTCAGATATGAAACTTGGTCCCAGTCCTCACCCCGTGGGTGAGGAGCCACTTCCCCGGGCACATGCCTCAGAGAAAGCCTTGCTCAATGTGGGAGTAGGCAGGCCCTCGCAGGACGTGTTATGAGAGTTGGGCAAGAGGACCCCTGCTTCAGTCCCTCTCCTGCATCCTTCCAGCCAGTTCTGAGGATGTGATGTGCTTGCCAGCTCCTTTTCGCACTGGGTTTCCCCAGGAAGCGGTCATGTTTTCCAGCCACTCTTTATTCATTACCAAACCTAGATGTGTGTGAACCTCCACACTGACTACAGCTTGGAAGGTGCTTCTCTCAGGGGTTAATGAAAAACCTGCAGAGCCGGGTTTCTGGACCCAGTAGGTCACACTGCATGGGACCATCCACACTTGATATTTTCCTTCTTGGGTAAAACTCATCCTCAGCTTACCTCTACTTGCAGGCTGCTTAGATGGCACTTCAGTGGATTTACAGTGAAATGTTCTTTTCTTCTCAGGTAATTAGGTCCAGAGGAAAATGTGATCACCTGCCAGCCTGCCCAGACAGCGGGAGAGGTAAGCCTTCAGCTCTGCCAGCCTTGGTGAACTCGTGGCTGCCTGTAGCCCGTCCACCGGTTAGCACTCATCAGCTGTGCGGGGGGCCCTGTCCCAGGATAGGGAAGCTTCTGAGCCCTGCATTAACCAAAGTGCTGAAGACTCCACCAGGCAGGGGCCCAGCACTGGGAGACTGGGATTCTAATCTGTCCCCCAACTAACTCACTAGAACCTAAGGCGAGTCAACTTAGCCCTCTGGGCTTCCGTGTCTTCATCGGTACAAAGATTCCTCCTTGCCTCTCGTGCGAAATTATTAGGAGGCACGCATGGCATGAGGGATGTAAAGGTGCATTGGAGATGATTTACGATCAGCATTCTTTAAGATGTTGTTTACAAAGGCAAAGTAATGCTGGGAATTTGCTGGAGGCAAAAATGGAGTTTTATCTGAAATGCTTTATTGATCATCCAACCATTGCTGACCTCAGTAAATCCCCAGCCTGTTTAGAGTAGCCAAGACACTGAGATAGCAAACACTTCCCCAAGTGCATCTCCCAGCTCAGTAATACTGAGAGGACTACTACAAATACCACTGAGTGCCTGACACATCCAAATGAGAAAATGGTAGTAAATAAAAACAGGCCCTGCTGCAACATCTAAGTGATTCCTCCCTCCCCAGCACCCAGTCCCATCCTCCGCTCAACCACTAAAACAAAAAAGGCCAATCTAAAGTCTCGCTCCAGCACCCAGTCCCATCCTCCACTCAACCACTAAAACAAAAAAGGCCATTCTAAAGCCTCGCAAGTGGAGGAACAGGCTGAACTAAGCACAGTGAGGGTTCTTTAAGGGGAGACAGGGGGTGCTTTACTCTCTTACTCCAGGAGTGAGCTTAGCCAGGACCACAAGCCTGATGCCTCCATGCTAGAAGGAGGAGCAGCCAAGCAAAGGTCACTGCATGGCTCCCACTGACACTTACCAGCACAGAGCCACACTCTCACCCTGCTGAGGCCAGTTGTCCACCCAGTACCCAGGCCTAGCAAGGACATTTGCATAGTGAGGACATCTCCTATGTGCTGAGCCAGAAGCAACTGCCAAGCCTCTGGACAGGTGAGATTGCAGAGAACCATTATCCAACCCCACCCCTGATGTCGGCTTGGATTTTCCTTTAGCTGAATTACACGACAGCTTTGTCTTCTAGCTGAGCCCCCGCTGGATCCCAGAAAGTCTCCATAAATCAGAGAGAAAACTGTTTTGAAGCAAAAAGTCTTTTCTACATAACAGTGCTCAGGCAGATGGCAATAATTTATCCTAATTAATAAGAAGAGTAGGTAACCTTACAGAGCATGTACTATGGGAAGACACTGTTTTCAGTGTTTTATTGGCTTGAACTCATCTATCCATCATTACAACCCTGTGGGGTGACTACCCTTACTATTCCAGTTTATAGATGAAGAAACTGAGGTAAGGCCGGGAGCGGTGGCTCATACTTGTAATCCCAGCACTTTGGGAGGCTGAGGCGGGTGGATCACCTGAGGTTAGGAGTTCAAGACAACTCTGGCCAACATGGCGAAACCCATCTCCAAAAAAAAATACAAAACTTAGCCAGGCATGGTGGCGGGTGCCTGTAATCCCAGTTACTCCAGAGGCTGTGGCAGGAGAATTGCTTGAACCCGGGAGGCGGAGGTTGCAGTGAACTAAGATCATGCCATTGCACTCCAGCCAGGGCGACAGGGCGTCTCAGAAAAAAAAAAAAAAAAAGAAACTGAGATAAAAAAGGTTAAGTAAATTTTCTCAAAGTTATAGAGTGAAAAAGTGATTATATTAGTTAAGTAATACTAGCCGCTGTAACAGATGAACACTGAAATCTTACAGGGTCAACATGATAGAAACCTGTATCTCACTCTTGGAAAGTCTTCATGTTGGCAAGAGCAGTGGACATTCAGGATCTGGCTCACAGAGCCGCTACCTGCTGTCCTCACCATGTGGCCCCTGGTGTGGCTCTCCGGGAAGCTACCTTAAGCCAGCAGATGGGGAAGGGAGCCCATGGAGGGTCCCATAGGAGGGGCTTGTGGGCCATGTCGCCTCACTTCCATCCACAGTCCAGGGGCTGGAGCTCACGCACAGGGACAAACCTGGATGCAAGCAAGGAATGAGAAATGTCAACCCTGGTGACACAGCCACTTCCCAGTCACCATTCTACCTTATGAAAAGGCAATGCAAAGCATGAGTAGTTAGCAAGCCACCTCTGTCACAGTTTGGGAGCTGGGATTCAAACCTAGGCAGCCTGTGTACCATTATGCTACCTGATCTGGGTTCAAAGGCTGCTGGGGAGGCAGTCACTGGGCTCAGGAGGAACTGAGAACCAGGCCAGGGTAGAGATTGGGAGAGGGAGGTGGCAGTTGTCTCTCACATGCCCAGCACTAAGCAGTCTTTCTCAAGAATTTCAGTGAGATCCGAAATCCCACCATTAGCATGGTGACACTCTTGGTCATAGCTCAGCATTATTTAGGAGTTCCTACAGTTGCCCATACTCCTGGGAGAGACAAGACTCCAAATCATTGTTACTTTATAACTTCCCTGAGTGAATTTACAAATGCTTTTCCAGAGGGAACCACCAGATGAGTTCACATTCCAGTGGGAATTGGAGAGTGTCTGGAAGACTCTGAAAGTGCTGTGGGTAGCAGGGATCAGGGGAATACAAACCAAGGAACAAGCCTAGTGTGTCTGGGATTGGTGAGCAGCCCAGTGTACCTAAGCAGAGAAGGCTTCACCCCTGGGGGTGTGATGGTTTTAAAATATGTCTACAAATTCTTCAATACTTCTGCCTTCAAAAAGTGGAGGTCAACTGCCCTTCCCTTGAGTATGAGCTGAGCTTAGTGTCTTCGTCTAGTGAGTATGACGAGGCAGATATGACAGGGTATGACTGCAGAGACTATGTTATAAAGGATGCCGAGGCTTCTTCCTTGTTTTTGCTCACTCTCTTATATTACTTGCTCTCAGGAGATTAGCTGCCATGTTGTAAGGATGCCCAAGCAGCTTATGGAGAAGCCTGCATGGTAAGGACATGAGGGCTCCCCCAGCAGTCATGTCAGGAGCCACCTTAGAAACAAATCCTCCATGCCCAGGCAAGCTTTCAGATTACATAGTTATCCCTGACAACATCCTGACTGCAACCACATGCCTAACCTGGAGCCAGAGACACCCACAAAGCCACTCTTGAATTTCTGACCCACAGGAACTATAAGAATAAATCATTGTTGTTTTAAGCCACTGGGTTTTGGGGTAATACACTTTACCACTACAGATAATTAATATGGGAGTAGGAGGAAATCTGGTAGAAGCAGCACATTCCCACTCATGGAGGGCTTTCAACACCAATAAGCCAGCTTTGGTCTTCATGTCTTATGAGGAGTCAAGGAACATTTCAAGACATGAAATGAAGTAGGGAAAAGAAACAAGAACACATTCCTCTTGGCCACGGAGAAGAGGAAAATGCATATTTCTGATGTCTCAAAAGCTTTCTCTAGCCCAGTGATTCTCAGCTAGGGTTGATTTTTGCCCCCTGAGGGACATTTATCAATGTCTGGAGACATTTCTGATTGTTATAACTGGGGCAGGAGGGGGCACACTACTGTCATCTGGTGGAAAGAGGCCAGGGAGACTGCTAAGCATCCTACAGCACACAGGTCTGTCCTGCAAAAAGAGAACCATTTGGCCCAAAGTATCAGTAGTCCCAACACTGAGAAACCCTGGTCTAGCCTTGCCTTGAACCACTATCTCCCTTGAAATGTCTGAGGATCTGAGCTTCTCCAGAGTTGCAGTCACCATTTTTACTCCTATACTGAAACACTTACCAATTTTGAAAACTCAGAGGAAAATAAATCCATGTTCAAGCAGGTAGACCTTGCCCAGTTTCAAGGAGTCTAAGACATGGCTGTGGGCATAGACTAACCTCTTCCATGGCTTTTCAGAGCCAAGTAGTCAGAATAAGGTAGATTATGCCACGGTAACACATTAATTCTGAAATCTCAGTGCCTTGAAACAAAAGGATTTATTTCTCATTAACATCACAGTCCAGTGAAAACATAGGAGTCTCTCCTCCAAGCAGTGACTCAGTTTCCAAAGGTTGCTTCCATCTGTGGTGCTTTCGTCCTTTCTCATTGGTATCCTCCACTGGCCGATAGTGGAAAGAGAGAGAAAGGAGGACCATGCTAGGGAGATGTTATGGCCAGTCCTGGAAATGCCTACATTCTATTGGCCAGAACAAGGTAACTGCAAGAGAGGTCCCATCTAACTGCAAGAGAGGCTGGGAAATATAGTTCAACTCTGAGCCCATGCAGGCAAAAAAAGTGGACATTGGTCAACACAAGCAAGATCAGCTCCCTGGTATAGTCCCTTCTGGACTTCACCACCAAGGCCCCACACTCAGAACACAGGCCTGGCCTAAGCCCATTGATACAACTCCAAGAGAGTTCATTGATAAAGAAAGAAGCAGAGCCTGTCATCATGGGCACGTTGCCATGAAGGAGGGGAGACAGCAAAGGACTCCTACCCATTCTTTTTGCCTCCACAGTCAGCTATACAGGGGACCTCATTACTCTTTGGTTCAGGAAGATAATGGGAGATAGGCCCCTTAACCACAGACCCAAGTCAGGTAAGCACTGATCTCTGGAAGAACCTCTTTTCAGACATCCTTGACTACAATTTTGTCTCTCAGTTCTCAATTCCACATCAAGGGCTTTTGAACTTCATATGTGCTTCCAAAATGAAAAGCAAATCTGAAAGTTACCTTGGAATACAGCCTTCTCATATCCTCAGCCCAGAACACTGTGCAGTACTTTACCATTCACCTCAAGCAAAGGTACAGCTGAAGCTGTGTGAAGGTCGAAAGCTTAGTCATTTGATAAAAAGGAGAGGCTCAAAAAGGTGAGTGTTGAAGATGAAAATGGAAGTTCATCTATGAATACTGTTTATATATGTTACTTTGAACATATATTTCATTAATGTTTTTTATGATCTAATTCTGTATTCTCAATTTAAAATAGTAAATATAACATTATTGGGATAAAAAAATAAAGGTACACCCATTTGACATGTGTACCCCAAATGGAATCAATTCACCCCAGCCCAGTTCCTCATAGCCACCATTCAAGAAGTTTGGATTTCACTTCTTTTTCTCCTTCCTTCTCAGGCCTGAGAAGCAACACATCTCCCCCGTGCCTACCCCAAACCTCCACTAGCTTTCAGCCATGGGGGTGTGCTCTGCAATCCTATAGCACATGCTGGAATACAGTTTGAATACAAGATGCTACAGGTAATAAAGTTTATCAGAATGGCTTGTCATTACTTTGCATCATTATACAATTACTGCAGCTTTGGAAGGTAATAAATCATTGCACAGGTGACAAATTGAGAAGCTAAGAAAGACAGTTTTTCTCACAGATAAAGCAACCGCTGCCACTAACGAGATGTGGCGATTTGGTGGTCAAACTTTTAAAAAGTGTCCTGTGGTCCTGAGAGTGTCAGTAGGAAGGCCATCCACATCTGAAAGCATGCCAAGCCATTTCCAAGACTACAGAGGAGCGTGAAACTCCAACAGCTCCGAAAATGCGTGTCCTAGTTTTACTCCTTGATTGCCAAGAGGGAGCCTTATACCAATAACTGAATTCCAGATAGTCCAAACTTCATTGGCTCAGAATAATGGCCCAGACAGCCCTTTATTCACTCAACTCAACTCAGAGATGTCTCCAAAGAAGCCTGTTTATGTGTGCATGCACGTGTGTGTGCTTGTGTTTTAAGTAGTCTGAGTGCTAAACTGCCTCTGTGTAATTTTCTAACACACTAAGTTTTCTGTTTTGTTTTGTTTTTTACACTTGGGTAATAAAAAAATAGCACAGCATATTTTCTGCAGACATAAAAAATAGATCTCCAGACTAAAATCAAGCAGGAGATGTTTTAGTCCAAAAAAACAATACTCTAGGAGGGAATGCATGCAGGATATGAGAGGTTTAGAAAAGGATAACTGGTTCCACTCCACTGCGGCATTGATGTCTGTGCTAGATGAGATGCTGCAGACGCTCTCCAAATTAATCAATGGGCTCCTAGAGTATGAGGAAGGAGTCAGCAAGAACCCCTCCCAGAAAGTTCTAGTAAAGCCTTATATTTGATGACTAACCTGTACCACTATATAAGAAAGTATTTTTGCTTTTGATGAACAAGCCAAGTAGCTAGGGCCTGGAAGTGGGACATTCTGGTTTGGGAAACTGGGCTCCAGAGAAAATGTTCTCAAAATGTGGTCCCCAGACCAAGAGCATCAGCATCATTTGGGGACTTCTTAAGAAATTCGAATTCTTGGACTCCACTTTGGATCTACTAAATTAGCAAGGCTCTGTGGTTGGGAGCTAGCAATCTGTGTTTCGACAATCCCTTCAGACAATTGCGATACATGCTCAAGTTTGAGAACCAGTGCTTGAGAAAAATGGGAGATTAGTTTCAGGATCCAAAGGACCCAGGAATAGAGACACCCAGGCCATGCACCCCTCCGATGCACTACTTCAGCCTATTATTGTAAATTGTCCCTTCATGCAGGGCTGCCACATCTGATTGTGCAAGTTGAGCACTGCATAAATTCTCCCTGACCAGGGATTAATTAGAAGACTAAAGTATAGGCCATGCCGGCTTCTAAGTCATGAACTTGATGGGCTACATATCCCCTGAAGGAGTGCTTTTATCTAAAATATGCAAAGATATCATATAGCCTGGCAGCTCATGTACCTTCACCTCTTTATTCAAATAAATCTCGACCTTCAAGATGAAAAGAAGATAAACTGCAGCTGGAAATCAGAGTCTTATCCTTTCAGATAGACAGATAAGCAACTTAACTATGAATGGTGACTTCATTCCTCATAGTGACTTGAGTACATAAAGCCAGGTTCCCACGGCCAATCTCGACTCAAGCCAAAATGAATTACAAAACAAAACTCTGAAGTTCCTGGCCCTACAAGCCATCCTCCAGCCTGCACCCATCCTGCAATCAGGGTTCTTGATTTTAAAGTAATGCTTGGCTCTATTGAATCCTTCTAAGGTCCAGAGCCAGGAAACCACCCTAAATGACAACAGGGCTGTGTGGGGCCCACACAGAGTTCATTCAGAGAGGTCCTTTCTCATCTGGGGAAAGGCATCAGGGTATATTTTATAGGCCTCTGTGACCTCCTACATAAAGCATCAATACTTTCACCCATGAAACTTCCCAAGGTCCTAGCATCTCTAAGGACAGGCAGAGTCTTCTCTCTAAGTTAAACAAGGTGGCTAAGTGTTCTGGAAAAGGTTCTGTTTTTCCTCTAACACCAACCCTTCCAGAAAGAGGCCACCAAGAGGTGGTCCAGTCCACACCTGCTCAGCCCTATGGCTCTATTCCATCACCGAGAAAACCCACTGGGTTGAGGGGATCCGGTAGGGAGGTATTTCAAACCCTCTACTTCATTCCCATTGTTCACCACATGCAGAAAAATGATCATTTTGTGTGTTACACTCTGGGTAATCAATTCCAATCCCCTGGAGATTTCCTGGGCCTGCTAAGCACATTTATTCTCCTGTTTCTAATCTATTCCTTTGATTTTCACAACTTGAACATACTGTCATCATTTTAAAGGAGGGGAGAGAACAGGAAATGAGAAAGCAAGGGCAGAGGGAGCAGAAGAGAGGGAGGGAGAAAGAGCTTGATCCTGCCATTCTCCAGCTTTCAAAGCCCCTTTGTCTGTAAGACAAAATGCCTGTGCCCCCCTCATTCAAGGTCTTAACAGCCTGGCTCCAAAGCTTGTCTGTGCACGTCTATGCTGAGTTTCCAAGGGTGAGTGTAATGACAGTGATAATATAACAATATCATCATTATCATCAGAACTGGGCGGGTCTAGACTAAATACTGGAATGTGGCTGACACTCAGCTTGAAGACTCACAATAACCACACCAGAGTAGTCACTATTATTATCACTATTTCCTGATAAAATTGTAGCCCAAAGAGGTTAAATAAATTGCTGAAGATCAATTAGCTAGTAAGTGAAAAATCTGAAATTTGGGCTCCAGCATTCTGACACCACAACCCCAACCTCCTAATAACTAGTTTAAGCTTTTTCTGACATGGAACTCCTGGGCCCCTCTGGACCCTGGACTTCTTGCACACCTTACAATGGGAGACTAGAGGAAGCTACAGTTCAGGACTGAATTTTCTCCCCCAGGCCGAGACTGTCTGCCCCGGTCCTCAGCCTCAAGTCAGAAGAAGGCTTGTATATATAGCCACTGGATCTAAAATAAGCCAGAAATACAGAAATATTTGGGACTCCCAGAGTCCCAGCACCTAACGCAAGATTTCACAAACTAGTTGCTCAATAAATATTTGTTGAATGAACACGCTCTCAGATTCATATTCCATGAATTGTCAAGCACTTATATGTCAGGCAATGTGCTAGATGATTTCTTGAATGTTACCTCATCTAGGCATTGCAGAAATTCAAAAAAGTATTTATATCCCGTTTTCAGATGAGGGTGCTGGAGTTCAGAAAAGGAGGTGACTTGAATCTTGACTGTGGATTCATAATTGTGGGAAAGGAAGAGTTTGTGAAAAGCAGGAGCTACTTAGGGAAGCCCAACTCTCAGTCAACACTAATGTGACTGCTTTATATTCCCACCCCTCCGCCCCTCTTAAATGTCTTTTCCTGGTTACCTGAATTTTTACTTCACTGCTGAATTCAATTCCTCAAATAGAAATACCTCCAGGAGGTTTATTAAGTGCTCCCATAATATTGCTGCATAACAAATCCCCTCAAAACGTAATGGCTTAAAAGAACCATTTTATTTTACTCACCATCTTGTGGGTCAGGAATGTGGAAAGGGCTTGTGTGGGCAGTTCTCACTTGGGGTCTTTCATGCAGTAGAGGAAAGATGGTAGCCGGAGCTGTGCCATATGAAGGTTCAACCAACTGGACACCCAAGATGGCTCACTCACGTGGGGGCAGCTGGTGCTGGCTGTGGGCTGGGGCTCAGCTGGGCTGCGGAATGGAATCTTCATAGGTAGTCTCTCCAGCATGGTGGCCTCAGGGTGGCCAAACTCTTACATGGCACCTGGCGTCCCCCAGGGTATATGTCCCAAGAGAGCCAGGCAGAAGCTATTTGGCTCTGTTGAGCTAGCCTTGGAAGTCACCCAGAGTCACTTCCACCACATTTGATTAAACAATCACATGACCAGCCAGATTCAAAAAGAGGGAATGACCCCTTTATGGAAAGAATGTCAAAGAATTTGCAGCCATTATTTTAATGCCACATGAAGCTATCCATCATTCACCCCAGTGTACATTTAAGCCTGCCTGATTCCTCTGTGGGAAAGACGGTCTCCAAAGATGGCCACTGTCCACTCCTTCCCTCACTGTCACACACATGCTGCTTTCCTCAGAAGGCGACATCTGTTTCCCTTCTCTTTGAATCTGGGTTAGCCTTAAGACTTGCCTTGATCAATACGGCAGGTAGCAGAGTGACTCTGCAGTTATTGGTCTAGGCTTTAAAAAGACCAGCAGCCTCTACTTCTGCTGGGAGAAGCCAGATACAATGTAGAAATGAATGAAACTGCTCAGACCACCATGCAATGAGGAAGCCCAGGCTGACCTCATGAAGAGGCCATGAGGAGGAGGACCAGGGAGCCCAGAGAGCAGCCAGAACCAGAGACCCAAACATACAACCCCGCTGAGCCTCCCTGGCTGGATTTTGCCACATGAGCCTTTCTAGTCAAGACCAGACACCATGAGCACAATAATGGTTAATTGTGTCCACTTCGCCTTATACAAATTCCTGGCCCACGAGAGCATAAGGAGATAAAATGATGGTTGTTTCAAGCTGATAAATTTTAACATTGTTTATTGAGCATCAACAGATAATGGAAATATTTTCTAACCACTTCCCAAGACTAGCCACATCATACTTTTGAAGGGGAAGAACCTGAAAGCTCTGCATTCAGAAGGCTGACTTGGGGGAGGCAGGGGTCAGAGGGGATGGAGCTGTCACTTGGACGAGGCGGGCAGCATGCGGGGCAGAGCAGGGTGAGGTTGCCAGAGGGAACCTGGGAGAAAGCAAAGGACATGCCTGACCTGTTTCAAAGTTTTGCCCAGAAAAATAATGGAAAAGGGATTCTTTTTCCTTCTCTAACTTCTCCTCCCTCATCTCCACTGACCCTCCTCCCAAGACACAGGGAGATCAGATTATGTATTAAACTAAATTTTTAACTCATTTTATTTCATATGTGAAATATTTCAAACATACAGAAAATAACAGAAAACAATTTAACAAACACTGTTGTACTTACCACCCAGCATCTAAATAGACTTTTGAGGAGTAGTGGAGAATCTTAATCAGTTTTCATAGCACTGCTATTTACAGGAAAATATGTTCTACCTTCTAAAAAAACTGACTTGGGGATGAATTCCTGGAAGACCCCTGGCACTCAACAAATGGGATTGAGTATCTGCTTCTGGCAGGTCCCAAAGTAACGCCACTGAATCCATCTTCCATATCCATAATCCTTCCCCTTCCCCCCACCACTCAGGTGTCCAGAGCAGTTACACAGACACAGTGCGGGGCTGCTTCTCACTGAGCCACTCTGAACCTGCACCTTTGGCACCCCACCATTACTGCCATTTCTACCTTATTCATAAGATGTCCCTGTCCTGTGTTCCACCCCTAAAACAGATGATAGCCAGCCAATTTCATGGACCACTCCAGACCTTGTACTAATAAGGAAGGGTGTCACTTTCCCAAGTTTGGATGTTTGCAAGTTAATGAGTGCCTTCTAGAAGAGATGCAGTACAACTCACAGCAGGGCCCTGATTCTGGGCATGGAACTACAGGAGATATTTATGGGGTGTGTTGGAATCTTCCATTTGCACCTCCAGATCCACTCTCTATTCTTCTTTCCCTGGAAGGCTGACCTACATGGATAAGATCAGGGGCTTCCTTGCTTCTGTCTTTCTAATTGGGTTTAAGCAATGGAGGTGGGGTGGTACCTGCAGGAGATAAGAAAAAGGAAGGAGAGTTCAGCTGGGGTTATTCATCCCCCTGGTTCTCTCCCTGTGGAGTCACCACAGACTGTCCCTGACCCAAGCCTGCACTCCCATTAGGCAGCCAGTCCACACAGCTTTCCTGTTCTGGGTTCCAGGAACTGCTCCCTAACTGTGCTTTCTCAGACCTCGAAAAGGTAAGGAGCCCTGATGCTCTGCATTCTCCCCTGTGGGTTCCCTTTACCCCGTCTGCACTGCTGTACAGAGCCTATTACAGTCCCTTCAAATGACCTGATCTGAGTGTGCCATCCTTTTCCTGCTGGGACACTAACAAGACAGGAGGAAAGTGACACCTTTTAACACCCCTCAAATCTTGCCACCATCCCCCCACTTAGGCAGATGTTTCAGCCAGGAGCCACCAACCACACGGGTGGATAGCCCTGTCCTGTGCCCAACTGAGGAGACACAATCCTAAGGCTCTTCTCAACTACACGTGCCCTAAGCACTTCTGCTCTTGGCCACCCAGGTATGTGGTGAGGGTGGGACTGCAGGTGAGGACACATCTGCACTCCTGCTCCCACAAAATAAAGTCACCCCTAATTCTGAGCAGCTCTCTCAAGCTTTATACTTCATAAAAAGATAGGACATATTATAAGCAAAATAGGATTTGCTAAATATAGTCTATTCAGCCGGGGGAAGGCTAAATTATTCATAACCAGACCAGGATATACAAGGCACGCTAAACACAAATCCATTTTTGATTTTTTTTTTTTTTTACTTTTCTTTTTTTTTATTATACTTTAAGTTTTAGGGTACATGTGCACATTGTGCAGGTTAGTTACATATGTATACATGTGCCATGCTGGTGCGCTGCACCCACTAACTCGTCATCTAGCATTAGGTATATCTCCCAATGCTATCCCTCCCCCCTCCCCCCACCCCACCACAGTCCCCAGAGTGTGATATTCCCCTTCCTGTGTCCATGTGATCTCATTGTTCAATTCCCACCTATGAGTGAGAATATGCGGTGTTTGGTTTTTTGTTCTTGCGATAGTTTACTGAGAATGATGGTTTCCAGTTTCATCCATGTCCCTACAAAGGACATGAACTCATCATTTTTTATGGCTGCATAGTATTCCATGGTGTATATGTGCCACATTTTCTTAATCCAGTCTATCATTGTTGGACATTTGGGTTGGTTCCAAGTCTTTGCTATTATGAATAATGCCGCAATAAACATACGTGTGCATGTGTCTTTATAGCAGCATGATTTATAGTCATTTGGGTATATACCCAGTAATGGGATGGCTGGGTCAAATGGTATTTCTAGTTCTAGAACCCTGAGGAATCGCCACACTGACTTCCACAATGGTTGAACTAGTTTACAGTCCCACCAACAGTGTAAAAGTGTTCCTATTTCTCCACATCCTCTCCAGCACCTGTTGTTTCCTGACTTTTTAATGATTGCCATTCTAACTGGTGTGAGATGATATCTCATAGTGGTTTTGATTTGCATTTCTCTGATGGCCAGTGATGATGAGCATTTTTTCATGTGTTTTTTGGCTGCATAAATGTCTTCTTTTGAGAAGTGTCTGTTCATGTCCTTTGCCCACTTTTTGATGGGGTTGTTTGTTTTTTTCTTGTAAATTTGTTTGAGTTCATTGTAGATTCTGGATATTAGCCCTTTGTCAGATGAGTAGGTTGCGAAAATTTTCTCCCATGTTGTAGGTTGCCTGTTCACTCTGATGGTAGTTTCTTTTGCTGTGCAGAAGCTCTTTAGTTTAATTAGATCCCATTTGTCAATTTTGGCTTTTGTTGCCATTGCTTTTGGTGTTTTGGACATGAAGTCCTTGCCCACGCCTATGTCCTGAATGGTAATGCCTAGGTTTTCTTCTAGGGTTTTTATGGTTTTAGGTCTAACGTTTAAATCTTTAATCCATCTTGAATTGATTTTTGTATAAGGTGTAAGGAAGGGATCCAGTTTCAGCTTTCTACATATGGCTAGCCAGTTTTCCCAGCACCATTTATTAAATAGGGAATCCTTTCCCCATTGCTTGTTTTTCTCAGGTTTGTCAAAGATCAGATAGTTGTAGGTATGCGGCATTATTTCTGAGGGCTCTGTTCTGTTCCATTGATCTATATCTCTGTTTTGGTACCAGTACCATGCTGTTTTGGTTACTGTAGCCTTGTAGTATAGTTTGAAGTCAGGTAGTGTGATGCCTCCAGCTTTGTTCTTTTGGCTTAGGATTGACTTGGCAATGCGGGCTCTTTTTTGGTTCCATATGAACTTTAAAGTAGTTTTTTCCAATTCTGTGAAGAAAGTCATTGGTAGCTTGATGGGGATGGCATTGAATCTGTAAATTACCTTGGGCAGTATGGCCATTTTCACGATGTTGATTCTTCCTACCCATGAGCATGGAATGTTCTTCCATTTGTTTGTATCCTCTTTTATTTCATTGAGCAGTGGTTTGTAGTTCTCCTTGAAGAGGTCCTTCACATCCCTTGTAAGTTGGATTCCTAGGTATTTTATTCTCTTTGAAGCAATTGTGAATGGGAGTTCACTCATGATTTGGCTCTCTGTTTGTCTGTTGTTGGTGTATAAGAATGCTTGTGATTTTTGTACATTGATTTTTTATCCTGAGACTTTGCTGAAGTTGCTTATCAGCTTAAGGAGATTTTGGGCTGAGACAATGGGGTTTTCTAGATAAACAATCATGTCATCTGCAAACAGGGACAATTTGACTTCCTCTTTTCCTAATTGAATACCTTTTATTTCCTTCTCCTGCCTGATTGCCCTGGCCAGAACTTCCAACACTATGTTGAATAGGAGCGGTGAGAGAGGGCATCCCTGTCTTGTGCCAGTTTTCAAAGGGAATGCTTCCAGTTTTTGCCCATTCAGTATGATATTGGCTGTGGGTTTGTCATAGATAGCTCTTATTATTTTGAGATACGTCCCATCAATACCTAATTTATTGAGAGTTTTTAGCATGAAGGGTTGTTGAATTTTGTCAAAGGCTTTTTCTGCATCTATTGAGATAATCATGTGGTTTTTGTCTTTGGCTCTGTTTATATGCTGGATTACATTTATTGATTTGCGTATATTGAACCAGCCTTGCATCCCAGGGATGAAGCCCACTTGATCATGGTGGATAAGCTTTTTGATGTGCTGCTGGATTCGGTTTGCCAGTATTTTATTGAGGATTTTTGCATCAATGTTCATCAAGGATATTGGTCTAAAATTCTCTTTTTTGGTTGTGTCTCTGCCTGGCTTTGGTATCAGAATGATGCTGGCCTCATAAAATGAGTTAGGGAGGATTCCTTCTTTTTCTATTGATTGGAATAGTTTCAGAAGGAATGGTACCAGTTCCTCCTTGTACCTCTGGTAGAATTCGGCTGTGAATCCATCTGGTCCTGGACTCTTTTTTGTTGGTAAACTATTGATTATTGCCACAATTTCAGAGCCTGTTATTGGTCTATTCAGAGATTCAACTTCTTCCTGGTTTAGTCTTGGGAGAGTGTATGTGTCGAGGAATGTATCCATTTCTTCTAGATTTTCTAGTTTATTTGTGTAGAGGTGTTTGTAGTATTCTCTGATGGTAGTTTGTATTTCTGTGGGATTGGTGGTGATATCCCCTTTATCATTTTTTATCGTGTCTATTTGATTCTTCTCTCTTTTTTTCTTTATTAGTCTTGCGAGTGGTCTATCAATTTTGTTGATCCTTTCAAAAAACCAGCTCCTGGATTCATTGATTTTTTGAAGGGTTTTTTGTGTCTCTATTTCCTTCAGTTCTGCTCTGATTTTAGTTATTTCTTGCCTTCTGCTAGCTTTTGAATGTGTTTGCTCTTGCTTTTCTAGTTCTTTTAATTGTGATGTTAGGGTGTCAATTTTGGATCTTTCCTGCTTTCTCTTGTGGGCATTTAGTGCTATAAATTTCCCTCTACACACTGCTTTGAATGTGTCCCAGAGATTCTGGTATGTTGTGTCTTTGTTCTCATTGGTTTCAAAGAACATCTTTATTTCTGCCTTCATTTCGTTATGTACCCAGTAGTCATTCAGGAGCAGGTTGTTCAGTTTCCATGTAGTTGAGCGGCTTTGAGTGAGATTATTAATCCTGAGTTCTAGTTTGATTGCACTGTGGTCTGAGAGATAGTTTGTTATAATTTCTGTTCTTTTACATTTGCTGAGGAGAGTTTTACTTCCAACTATGTGGTCAATTTTGGAATAGGTGTGGTGTGGTGCTGAGAAGAATGTATGTTCTGTTGATTTGGCATGGAGAGTTCTGTAGATGTCTATTAGGTCCGCTTGGTGCAGAGCTGAGTTCAATTCCTGGGTATCCTTGTTGACTTTCTGTCTCGTTGATCTGTCTAATGTTGACAGTGGGGTGTTAAAGTCTCCCATTATTATTGTGTGGGAGTCTAAGTCTCTTTGTAGGTCACTCAGGACTTGCTTTATGAATCTGGGTGCTCCTGTATTGGGTGCATATATATTTAGGATAGTTAGCTCCTCTTGTTGAATTGATCCCTTTACCATTATGTAATGGCCTTCTTTGTCTCTTTTGATATTTGTTGGTTTAAAGTCTGTTTTATCAGAGACTAGGATTGCAACCCCTGCCTTTTTTTGTTTTCCATTGGCTTGGTAGATCTTCCTCCATCCTTTTATTTTGAGCCTATGTGTGTCTCTGCACGTGAGATGGGTTTCCTGAATACAGCACACTGATGGGTCTTGACTCTTTATCCAACTTGCCAGTCTGTGTCTTTTAATTGGAGAATTTAGTCCATTTACATTTAAAGTTAATATTGTTATGTGTGAATTTGATCCTGTCATTATGATGTTAGCTGGTGATTTTGCTCGTTAGTTGATGCAGTTTCTTCCTAGTCTCGATGGTCTTTACATTTTGGCATGATTTTGCAGTGGCTGGTACCGGTTGTTCCTTTCCATGTTTAGCGCTTCCTTCAGGAGCTCTTTTAGGGCAGGCCTGGTGGTGACAAAATCTCTCAGCATTTGCTTCTCTGTAAAGTATTTTATTTCTCCTTCACTTATGAAGCTTAGTTTGGCTGGATATGAAATTCTGGGTTGAAAATTCTTTTCTTTAAGAATGTTGAATATTGGCCCCCACTCTCTTCTGGCTTGTAGGGTTTCTGCCAAGAGATCCGCTGTTAGTCTGATGGGCTTCCCTTTGAGGGTAACCCGACCTTTCTCTCTGGCTGCCCTTAACATTTTTTCCTTCATTTCAACTTTGGTGAATCTGACAATTATGTGTCTTGGAGTTGCTCTTCTCGAGGAGTATCTTTGTGGCGTTCTCTGTATTTCCTGAATCTGAACGTTGGCCTGCCTTGCTAGATTGGGGAAGTTCTCCTGGATAATATCCTGCAGAGTGTTTTCCAACTTGGTTCCATTCTCCCCATCACTTTCAGGTACACCAATCAGACGTAGATTTGGTCTTTTCACATAGTCCCATATTTCTTGGAGGCTTTGCTCATTTCTTTTTATTCTTTTTTCTCTAAACTTCCCTTCTCGCTTCATTTCATTCATTTCATCTTCCATTGCTGATACCCTTTCTTCCAGTTGATCGCATCGGCTCCTGAGGCTTCTGCATTCTTCACGTAGTTCTCAAGCCTTGGTTTTCAGCTCCATCAACTCCTTTAAGCACTTCTCTGTATTGGTTATTCTAGTTATACATTCTTCTAAATTTTTTTCAAAGTTTTCAACTTCTTTGACTTTGGTTTGAATGTCCTCCCGTAGCTCAGAGTAATTTGATCGTCTGAAGCCTTCTTCTCTCAGCTCGTCAAAATCATTCTCCATCCAGCTTTGTTCCATTGCTGGTGAGGAACTGCGTTCCTTTGGAGGAGGAGAGGCGCTCTGCGTTTTAGAGTTTCCAGTTTTTCTGTTCTGTTTTTTCCCCATCTTTGTGGTTTTATCTACTTTTGGTCTTTGATGATGGTGATGTACAGATGGGTTTTCGGTGTGGATGTCCTTTCTGTTTGTTAGTTTTCCTTCTAACAGACAGGACCCTCAGCTGCAGGTCTGTTGGAATACCCTGCAGTGTGAGGTGTCAGTGTGCCCCTGCTGGGGGGTGCCTCCCAGATAGGCTGCTCGGGGGTCAGGGGTCAGGGACCCACTTGAGGAGGCAGTCTGCCCGTTCTCAGATCTCCAGCTGCGTGCTGGGAGAACCACTGCTCTCTTCAAAGCTGTCAGACAGGGACACTTAAGTCTGCAGAGGTTACTGCTGTCTTTTTGTTTGTCTGTGCCCTGCCCCCAGAGGTGGAGCCTACAGAGGCAGGCAGGCCTCCTTGAGCTGTGGTGGGCTCCACCCAGTTCGAGCTTCCTGGCTGCTTTGTTTACCTAGGCAAGCCTGGGCAATGGCGGGCGCCCCTCCCCCAGCCTCGCTGCCGCCTTGCAGTTTGATCTCAGACTGCTGTGCTAGCAATCAGCGAGACTCCGTGGGCGGGCGTAGGACCCTCCGAGCCAGGTGTGGGATATAGTCTCGTGGTGCGCCGTTTTTTAAGCCGGTCTGAAAAGCGCAATATTCGGGTGGGAGTGACCCGATTTTCCAGGTGCGTCTGTCACCCCTTTCTTTGACTCGGAAAGGGAACTCCCTGACCCCTTGCGCTTCCCAGGTGAGGCAGTGCCTCGCCCTGCTTCGGCTTGCGCACGGTGTGCGCACCCACTGGCCTGCGCCCACTGTCTGGCACTCCCTAGTGAGATGAACCCGGTACCTCAGATGGAAATGCAGAAATCACCTGTCTTCTGCGTCGCTCACGCTGGGAGCTGTAGACCGGAGCTGTTCCTATTCGGCCATCTTGGCTCCTCCCCGCCATTTTTGATTTTGGTATTTTTTTTCTGGGGTCTGTGTATTCAGTGCCCCTGCATTGATCTGTAACTGCCCCCCCGATGCCTGCATTTGCTCAGGATGAAGATCTCAGGATCTGGGCCAATTACCAAGCTGTGAATAACCCCAGTCTCGCCCTCTGCAGGCCAGCAGCCCCCACAAGGTCATCAATTGTCCATCCTGTGTACCCTGGTGCTAGAGGCATTTGCATCCCGTGAAAGGATCATCAGCTCCCTGCAGAGCTCCAAGGATAAGCAACCCTTAAAAAAGACACCATCGAAGCCAGCACAGCACCGCATCCATTGCACCATGAAAGGCAAGATGGGACAGTGTGACGGTGACAAGCAAAGCCAGCTCTGAGTCCTCAGTATGATCAACGCCAAGGAAACAATGCACCAGTCCCCTCCAAAATGAAGTCTCAGGCTGGGTAGTGCATTTCAAATTATTTTCAGCCCAAGCTCTCTTCACACAGAAGCTGCTGATTAGATATTTTTCTGTAGTATGAGAATCATTGCTGAAAATACAGATGACTCTGAGACACTCACTACTGGTATTTTCCAAATAAGACAAAATAGAACCATGAAATAAAACATAGGTCTCAGCTGTTTTCTTCCTGAAGATTGCTCCAGGATCTGATGACTTAGGCAACTGACCATGACGTAGCAGCTTCACGAGAACCTCAGAATGTTCCGTGAAAAAGTTGGGGAGGGTACAATAGAATGAGCTATAATAGAGGGATCCCTAAGCAGTAATCTGCCAAATATGGTGTTTCTGTTCAAATAGTACAGAGAAATCTGTCAAAAACAGATTATCTCACTACAAAATGGTTACAGATTTCAGTGAACAGTAGTTAGAAAGAAGGGATTTTATCCGAAGACAGATTGTGATGTTCATACTGAAATGGACAACGAGGTTGTTATGCATCTGCTCTAGGTATGCCGTCATTACGTAAGGCCCATAGAGATTGGGATAATTTCCACTTCCTGGACCTGGGCACAGGCTGTTCAGATTTAGAGGACAAATCTGCTGCTTGACTCCTGTGAGTGATTTGAGTGGTAGCCCTGGGCCTGCCCGAACCCAAAGTCAGAAAGACATCACTGGATAGATCCTCTAAATGAGGGCAAGTGAGCCATAGCAAAACTCAGCGTGCCTGGTGTCTCCTGGCATCGAAGCTGCTGCTAACAGCCCCGGAGATGGGCCCAGAGTTCAGGGTGCTTCATCTTGCAAACTATTGCCTGGTTTCCTTTCCAGTGGGAGAAGAGTGCGCTTTATTGATCAAAGCAAAGAGTCTATCATGATGGATTCTGAGGGGCCCGTGGAGCAATCAACCCTCCCGGAAGCTAGCAAACATTCTGTTCCATTGCTTGCATCACTGCATGAAGAGCTGCCGGAAAACTGAATCCAACAGAACAAGTCCCATCCAAAGAGAAAGAAGTGATGGACCGGTGCTGGGAGGCACCAGCATGGTAGAGGGGGCCTGGCCTTGAACCCCATCTCCCCTGCTTGTCATCTAGGAGGACTTCAGCAAGTCACTCAACCTCTTCATAATTAGACAAGACTTTTGTACACAGCATTAGACAGGCATTTGGTAAAGCACTATACAACTACAGGAGATAACAATAATTTTCATGTTGGAAACCATCGCAGTCTTGAAACTACAACAGGCTCTTAGGATTTTTCTTTAAACCAGTGGTGCTTAAAGTGTGGTCCTCTCACCAGCCTTACGTAGAAATTGGTTAATAATGCAAATTGTCAAACCCTGAACCCACTGAATCAGAAATCGTGGTGGGGAAAAGAGGGCAGGTGGAGAAATCAGTGTTTAACCAGCCCTGCACTAGCGATATGTCTGAAGTAGGTGTGATTCCATCCCAAGATGACCTCCACTGCCTTCTTTAGCCCACCAGACCCTCCTCAGCCAGGGACAAACAGAGGGGTGACTGAGAATCAGAGAAGAAGGGCCATCCCCTGTACCTGCCTTTGGAGGAGTTCAGGCTAAATGGAAGTAAGAACAGCATGCGTAGAAAATTGGCAAATGATCAGAGGTCACCAGAAAGTGTGCTGATGTACCCTGCAGGGACTGTCACTGCCACAGAGCATGATGGGTAGGGAAGGCGAGCGTGGGTCACCGGGGAAGTTTGTTGGATGTGAAAAGGCAGAGAAGAGGAAGGAGCTCCTGGTGTGTGTTTGGTTGAGGGGCAGGAGGGGTGGGGAGGAGTAGGCATGAAGGCCAAGTAGGAAGCAGGGCAGGTGGGATGAGACACAAGAAAAACCAGCTTACAGGGTCCAAGTAATTCTCGTAAGGGCACCTCTGAGCCTGAAGCTGGTTTTTCTTATTCAGTTCAGATACAGATTCTCTTAAATTAGTAAACTGCACAGGCCCTTCCAAGTTACATACTGTGCTTAATCCTCAAGCCCCCCGAATCTATCTTCTCCCCAATGCCAACCATGTCAGGCCTATAAATAGACAAGCTTCAGGGGAAGGAGTGGCTGAAATTACACGGTTTATTAGGATGATTATATATTATTTATGTAATAATTACATACATGATTATATAACATTATAATCATGTCTGTATTCTAGCTTTATTAACCATAAAATATCATTTTTGTTTTTAAGGCTTTTACAGTTTCTTAAAAGATTTTAATTATCTGTAATTTTATTCAAATACACCCTGAGGTTTTAGGATGAAGGATGCTGCTCTAAAAATCTAAAAAATAAATAAATATTTGGCATCTACTATTATTTCAAGAAATGTAGTCTAATATTAAAAGGTCTGGTTGTCCCAATGCATGGTTGAGAAGGATGCTATCTGGTTTGAAATCATCATGGATGAAATCATTTATTTATTCATTCATTCAACCCTCAAAAATGTGCTGAGTGCCTGCTATATGCCAGGCAATGCACAGGAACACCTTGGGATAGATTTTCTCTGCCACTAGGAGAGACTGAAGGGGACCCCTGGGTTCTAGAGAAGAGCCTGTCGCCAGCTCTCAGCAGGCTTTTGTTTTGTTTTTTTGGTTTTTGGTTTTTTTGTTGCTGTTGAGACAGAGTCTCCAGCTCAGGCTGGAGTGCAATGGCACTATCTCAGTTCACTGCTATCTCCGCCTCCCAGGTTCAAACTATTCTCCTGCCTCAGCCTCCTGAGTAGCTGGGGTTACAGGTACCCGCCACCATGCCCAGCTAATTTTTGTATTTTTAATAGAGATGGGGTAGCGCCATGTTGGCCAGGCTGGTCTCTAATTCCTGTCCTCAAGTGATCTGCCCACCTCAGCCCCTCAAAGCACTGGGGTTACAGGCATGAGACACCATGCCTGGCTTCTGCAGACTTTTTTAAATGTTGCTCTAAACTAAAGGTGTTGGTCAAGGCAGACTGACGCTCTGCTCTCTCTGTGAGCACTGTGTCCATAACAGGTATTCCGATGCGGGTCACTAAAAAGAACATTGAAGGAGAAAAACAGACCAAGAGATTTCCCTCCAGGAACTGTGCAGGGACTGGAGCATAGCCCAGGAGTTCTGAAATGCAGAAGCCAGTGACCTCACACCAGGGACCAGCAATGAAGTCCCCAATGCCTCCTTGGAGTGCTCTTCTCCCTCCGTCACCCCTCACCCATGCACGCCTTACAGCTCTGATGGGCCACTCATCAGCCCATCTAAGCCATAATCCAGACACTGACAAAATAGAAGCACCAAAATACATGTTAGAAAGACTTTGCTGTTTGGAATACTTCAAAAACCATCCACAATTATCTGATAAAGACTATTAAAAACTCCTCTCTTTTAAGCACATGTGTGAGGCCAGATTTTCTTCACATAATTCAAGCAGATATGAGAATCCAGTTTCTTCCATTAAGGCACACATTAAGAGACTTGAAGCAATGCCACTCTTTGCATTACATTTTTGGGTACATATATTTTCATGAAAATATGTAATTTATGTTAATATGCAATGGATTCATTAATGTTTTGAAATAACTTAACAAATATCTTCATGTCTGAAAAAAAAATCATCCAAGTAATCATCATGGGGGAAATGAGAATTTTGCTGGACCTTCTTATACTTGTTTGATGGTTTCATATTGTTTTTTTTTGTTTTGTCTTGTTTTGTTTGAGATGGAGTCTCGCTCTGTCACCCAGGCTGGAGTGCAGTGGCGTGATCTCGGCTCACTGCAAGCTCCGCCTCCTAGCTTCAAGTGATTCTCCTGCCTCAGCATCCCAAGTAGCTGGGACCACAGGCACATGCAACCACACCCAGCTAATTGCTTTTGTATTTTTAGTAGAGACGGGTTTCACTGAGTTAGCCAGGTTGGTCTCGATCTCCTGACCTCGTGATCTGCCTGCTTCGGCCTCCCAAAGTGCTGGAATTACAGGTGGGAGCTATACGCCCAGCCTCATGTTATTTTTAAATTTTGATTACATATCCAGAGCTCCTTTAACTGTTTAGTTTCCTAAAGACTGCGTTAGCAGGAGAAAAAGAACATAATAACCTAATTCACACTTGGATGTTCATGACTATTCCAGCTTAGACCTCTGCCAAGCACAGTTCTACTGAAAAGCAAAGCCTATGCGGTTAGACTTGGGATAGTTGCAGATGACTCATGGCACAGACAGTTTAAATAGGATGGTTCTCAGAACTTCCCTCAAACCATATCTTGGGTGGCAATTGCCTGTTTCATGCACTTGCCAGGGAGAGTGGGAAGGATAGTTGCTCTCATGATTTCTGTGCAGTGGAGGAAGGTTTTTCATATCTACTCAACATAGAAGTTACCCTCCTTCCATCAGAATTCAGGGCCAACTGCAGAGCTCCTGGTTCTTCTGCAGCAAAACAAGAGACCCCGCAAAATAGTAGGGACAAAAGCCATTTTAAAATTCTGCATCAGAGAGCCATGGTAAAGACTTTGAGGGTCACTTCCTGGAGAAAAGGAAACTCGTTTAGTTCTGCCTGAGTAGGAACTGGTGGCGTTGGAGCCAGCCAAATGCAGCTGATAGCAACACAACATAAATATGACCCCGAGAAACCACGTTTGGGACTCAGAATGACTTTTCTGGCACAGACTAGCACAGAACATGGAGCAGCATGAAACACAAAAGAAAATGTGTTCATGATGTAGAAATAAAACCATAGCAGTAAAAGGCGAAGAATAAAGTAAGGCCCTGAGGGAGAGATTTCCCTGGGTCAGGTGTTTCTAAGAGATGCATAAATTTCACTCTAAAAAGAGATTGGAAATTAAAGCAGACCCTAAAATGTGTAGTGAATAGAGTGACCTGTATGTCCTCATGCTTAGGTTAACTGGCCAGCAAACACCACCCAGCTCTTCTTTCGTAGTATGGATATCCTTAATTAATCATTCCATGCCTACCATACCCAGCATGCATTGAAGAGCGAGTTTGGGAATTTTTGCAGATGCAGATCTCAGTGAGGAAAACCCATCTGGTGAAAACAGTCAAGATAATAAAGCCCCACATAGACAGATCAACTCACTTAGTTTTCTCCCAGAATAGGGTCTGAAGAAAGCCTAACTCTGTCTGAAAATGTGTTTCATATTCATACCAGTCCCAGATCTGGAAAGAGGATTGATATTCCAAGGGAAGCCTTACCTTACAAGTTGCCAAAAGATGTTTATCCTAAGAAGACACACAGCACATCCTTCCAGGTCTCTGGCCCCCTCAGGTTTCAAAGATTTGATGCCAGCCCAAGTTCAGCCCATCATCCTCCAGGCCTTCATCTCCCCTCCCCTTCTCTGTGCATCAGATCAGCACCATCTTGTAGAAACTATCTGACAGAAAACAAATGCAAGCCAAGCCACGTATCATTTTAAATTTTCTACTAACTACCCTTAAGATAAGCAAAATAAAATAGGCAAAATTAATTTTAATGGAATATTTTGTTTAACCAAATATACTCAAAATGCTATTATTTCAGCATGTAATCAACATGAAAAATTATTAATCAGATGCTTCACTTTTTCTTTTCTCCTCTTCATTTTTTTTGAGAGAGAGTCTTACTCTGTCACCCAGGCTGGAGTGCAGTGGCATGATCTCAGTTCTCTGCAACCTCCATCTCCTGAGTTCAAGTGATTCTCCTGCCTCAGCCTCCTGAGTAGCTGTGATTACAGGTGCGCACCACCACATCCAGCTAATTTTTGTATTTTTAGTAGAGATGGGGTTTCACCATGTTGGCCAGGCTGGTCTTGAACTCCTGACTTCAAGTGATCCGCCTGCCTCAGTTTCCCAAAGCGCTGAGATTACAGGTGTAAGCCACCACGCCCGGCCTGAGATACTTCACATTTTATTCTTTCTTTTGTACTAAGTCTTTGAGACCCAGTGTGTATATTTTACGGCACTGCACACCTCAGTTGGGACTAGCCACCTTCCATGTGCACAGTAGTTTCGTGCCTACGTGCTCACCATTGGCATTTGCCAGTGCATTTTCCCTGTCAGTCCGAAATGGCCCAGAGAAAGCCAGGCCTCTGTGCCCACAAGACCTGGCCTGGCAGTCAATGTCAGCTCCCCTCCTCGGCCCAGGAGAGGACCTCTCTTCTCATCTTGGCTTTGCTATCTGAGCCACTAGTCTGAGCTCCAGCAAAACAGTTAAATACTTATTTAAAATTTCTGAGAGGCTGTCTTATTTCTTCATGTGAATTAGAAAAGACTATTTTTAAAACCTAGGGGAAAGCAGGTCCTCACCAGTGACCTGTGTGTGCACTTTACACTTAAGAAGCTCTGGCCTCCGGAAGGAGCCCGCATCCCGTCTGGGGAAGGTGGATGTCGAGCCCTCTTTGGGCCAGGCAGCCAGCCACAGGTCAGTGGAGCAGCCCGCTGGAGGGCCAGGAGATAAGAGTGGGTTCCTAGAGGGCTAAGTGGGAAAATGTGCCTGAGACGCTTCTTCAAAAATCGAACCCAGGGTGTGTAGGAAGATCAGAACCTCTTGTACCTGGAAGCAGTGACTAGATAATTCACGAAATGATTTAGTGGCCCCATAACCTCCTCAAAGGGCTCGGAGATTTCACCATTAGCACTTCTGCCTGAAATTGAAGACAGTGCTACCCAGGAGGACTCAGCCCTTACCACCACAGGGTGAAGCAGGAACCGAGTGACAGGTTCTGAAAGAGGAAAATCCGGGAAAGAATGCAAAGTGGCAGACAGGGTGTGGTGGGCCATACTGCCTGGGTCTCTGTTGGTGCCAGACATGGTGCACAGGTCTAGGCAGGCAAGAAAGGAGCCAGGGACTATGGCAGCAATTCAGGCAATGATTAAAGCCATTCTTTGGGATTCTTCAGGCTGTTTCAGGGCAGGTTTAGAACAAATACCCACTTCCACAAGGCCAGCAGTTAATGCCAAATGGCAAAGTCCTAGGGTTATCAATCCATGTATTCACGTGTTCAATAAATGCATATTGAATAGCAAGGTCCCAATTTAACTCCTTAGAAAGCTCATCCATCTCCCCCACGTAACTGTAACTGTGTTTCCTTTTATCTGGAATCCTGAATCTGTGACCCCCTCCCTCTCCCTTCCTTGCTCTTTCTTATCTGGGTTGCTTGAGTGCTCATTGTATGAACAAAGTTCTGTAGGAGGACAGGGCATAGGGCAACAGACTCTTCCAGAGCCGTTGGCCAAGGCTTCTGAGCAATGACATAAAAAGGCAGGTCTTAAAGGTTGAATGGAAATTTGCCATGCAGAAAAATGAGAGAAGAGCATCCCAGGCAAAAGACACAATGGTTGTAAACAACAGAGCAGAGAGAAAGGTCAGCTAGGTGGGATCCAACTGTAAGACCTCACATGCTGCCCCAGGCCAACTCAGAGAACAGACTTGCACAAAGGGTCTCCAGGCTTGTATAGGTTTCTTTCGGCACATGCTGAGCTGGAATGTGTTTGGTCTCTTCTGTAATTTCACTTGCAAACATCTGATTTCACATTTCTTTTTTTCTAAACAGACACAAAAATAATCCCCAAATTTGACATGCCCAGAACTTCCAAACATCCTCAAGTCTGTGAGCTATTCTTACAAACAACATAAGTGACTTCCACATTTTCCACCAACGCAGCTGTAGCACTTTTAATGTTTACAATCCTGTGTCACCCTGGGTCTGAGATGTTCTTCCAATTAAACTCTGGTTACACTTCTCTTTCCAAGTGCGAAAGAATCCAATTAAAGTTAATGAAAGCAATCAGTCTGCAAGTCTCGGGGTGTTCTGCCCCATTTGTGAATACAGGTAATAACACCACTGACCTCATGGAGAGAGGAGGCACCATCGTTCTCTGCAAATGAGCCAGACCTGAGCCATCCAGGGAAACCTGGAATTTAGGAGGTCACCCTATTTGGGTTCCCCCACAATGCTCAGGATCCCATTAAGCATTAGCTGTGGGAGCCTGTCCTCTAAGGAGCTTCAGACTCATTTGGCTGCCATATGGCTTGAGCTTAGCAGTGCTTCTTTTCCCATAAGCCTGAAATCCTGGGTCACTCTATGCTTATTTTCAGGAAGTCATTCATTGCACTATCCTAGATTTCCTAACTGGCTTCAATGAGGCAGCTCTTATCCCCCAAAGAATAACACCATTAGCGCACCACCAGGCCCTGAGGTTGAATGAGCTCAAGTTCTCTGAGTTCACCTGACCTCTCCAGCCCTCGATGTTAAATCTCAAGGAACCAGGGGAACCTCGTGGGGCTCTGCTCAGAGGTTCAACCTAGGACCCTTCAGGAAGCATCCGCGAGGCTCACATCCCCATCATATTGGTAGCTCCCCGGACACATCCCTCAGATGTATGCATAAGTCAGGAGCGAGACTCACCATCATTCATTCCCAAGAGGGCCTGTTTTCCCCGAGCCTCTCTTCCTGCCCTGTTGAGTTGAATAACCTCACACTCCTCTAAGTAGCGTTGGCTCTTCACTATTCTGCACCTATGTGAAGGCTGACTCTTGACAGTCGTTTCTTGGCAGAATCGTGCCATTTTGACCTTAAGAAAATTGTCCCATCATTTCTGTTTCCTTGTAACACTGCCCTTAGACGTGAGAATCTGACACCAGTGAATGAGCCCAGCCCTGTTCTCGGGGAGCTTCCGCTCTGGCTGGGGAAACAGAGCTGACACTGAGAGCAGCTGGAACTGAACGAGGCAGTAAATAATTAAGTGCTACTCAATTACATAAATGATTAATTATAACTAATTGCTACTTAAATGAACTGCTCTAGTCCACATTGATCTCCTCGGCTCTGCCCTCCTCGAGCAGTAGCCACGGTCTGAGCCACTCACTGGGGCTTTCACACGTTGTCTGGAACCCTGTCTATCCTCTCATGTGTGAGCCTCCCCTCTCCTGACTGCCAGTGCCCCCAAGGGCAGTGCCAGGTCTTTTCCAGCTAATGACAGGCCCTGGTCTCTTGCTCCTCTAGCTCTCACAGCAGAATCAGCCCATTCAAAGCATAAGACTCCTTCCATAATGAATACTTGCCTAGTAAGGTCAAAAACATGGACCAGTGTTCACGTAGACTATGTGCCCCAGCTTCTTGTGCCTATGAGTATAAACTAGCGTCTCGCAATTATAATCGATTTTGCTTCAGGAGCTCCCGTAGTATGTCACTAGATATCTCTAGGAGCCTCTGGGAATGGCACCATGTGTGCTCTTCCATTCCTCAACCCTGTACTGTTGAGCCACCAAGATGGCGCTTCTACAGTCCATGTCACTGGCCACACTGCCCTACTGGGTCTGTCCTATGGCCTCCACTCTGACGGCTCCTGCAAGATCCTCCCTTCCCTCGTGCTTTGTTTGACAGATGATAGAAGGAAGAGCAAGCCAGGGAGTTGCCCACCTCCCTAAGCCTGCCTGTATTTCTTTAGGGTTCGAATCCCCCACTAGGCGCTAAGCAACTTGAGAAGTCTTCACTCATCACCAGGTCACCAGATGCTGGAAGAGACCACTGCATTCACTTGCTGTGGCTGCCATAACAAAATCCCACTGACTGGGTGGCTTAAACAACAGAAATGTATTTTCTCCCAATTCCGGGAGGGAGAAGTTCAAGGTCAAGATGTCAGGAGGTTTGATTTCATTCTGAAGCCCCTTCTGGACTTGTACATGGCCACTTTCCTGCTGTGTCTTCCCATGGTCTTTTCTCTGTGTTTGTCTCTGTCCTAATCTCTTCTTCTTATAAAGATGCCTGTCATACTGGATTAGGGCCTACCTAGATTATGTAATTTTACATTAATTACCTCTTTAAAAGCCTTATCTCCAAATACAGTCACATTCTGAGGTGCTGGGGGTTAGTCAGGACTTCAACATATGAGTTTTAGGAGGAGCACTACAGCCCACTCCAACCACTAGTAGTCTACATGCTTAATAAATGTGTGGGCTTGGTGGAATGGTGGGATGGGCAGGCAGCCAGATGGTTGGACTCAAAAACAGAACAGCTGCTAAACAGGTGTTGGCTGGAGACAGAGCAGAAGGTGGGATGAGAGGCTTGGGAGAGCCTCGCCCAGTCTGGGTCTTTCATACTCAGCCACACCCTCTCCTTTCTCCCTGAAAGGGGCCTGCTTTTTAGGATGACAATTCCCTTTGTTTCCTTCACAGCCCAAGAACAGAAACACAGTGCTGGTAAGGCCTGGAGAGCAATGATAAGGAATGTGCCACCTGAGACTTGCCGTCCCCGCACGAGCCACCCTCTGGGGACGGCCCTGCTCTCTTTGGAGGAGAGAGAAGACAGGTAAGCACTGAATGCTGCCCAGGCCGGTTTCCCAGTGACTCCAGGAAATTCTCTCTAACCCAACACTGAGAAGCAGACTTTGTGAATAACAAACATCTGCAAGGGACACAAAGCCCCCCAAACCAGAGCCTGTTTCTCTCCCTGTGCAGCGGACTCACTGCTGTCATAGAACAGGCACCGCACTCCCAGTGGCAGGAGAGGCCCATAATTATGGTGGGACTGAGAGATCGCTCAGGGTCAGCAAAACAGAGGGGAGGAAATTGCTGCACAGATTGGCTCAAATATCAGACTCAACGAAAAAGAAAACACAATTTGTTCATTTGGAAAATGACTCTAGAGACGTGAATGCCCCAGGCATTGTCGCAATACCAGGGAAACAGCGACAGCCTGCAGAGCTAGGGGGTTCCCTGGGGGAGCAAAGGCCACATGCTCCTTTGAGACAGGAGAGCGGCTTGATGGGCCAATAGCAGAGGTAACCTTCTCTTGTGTTCGTGAGTGCAGGCATTCATGAGCCATGAGTCAGCTGGGCTCGCCAGCATCTTTGAGGGTACAAGACTCTGGCCTGAGCTCCCAGAACAATGGACACTGCAGGGCACAGCACAACACTTCCAGGGCGCAGGGCCCTTGGAAGGACAGCAGGTGGGACATTGGGGGTGTGTACAATGGCCACTTCTGCATCTGTCAACTCCAGAACCCATCTTGCAAGCCTCTTTCCCACCATTTCCTCCTCTGTTGTAGTGACCCAGGACAGAGGACAGGGGCAGCATTGGCCGTGGGTAGACAGAGGCCTGAATGCTGTGGGCCAGCATCATACTAGGTGGCTTCTGGGTCAGGTGACCACCCACCTGGTTTGCCCAGGATGGCCCAGGTTCACACCTATGGTCCCAGCATGATCATCAACATCCAAAGTATCCCCATTTGAATACTAAATTAAACAGATGTCCTAATTCTCTTGAATATTACAGTACACGATCCCCACCCTCCCACGCCTTTTAGTCATGACATTTATGATGGGTCCAAGCTCTGCCTGGAAAAGGGACAGTGGGTCGGGGCCTCTACACAGGGCAGGTGGGTTCTCCCCTTAGGAATTATGAACATAGGGCTGACTAGAGGATCGGTGTGTGCCTGGAGACATCACTCAGCCCAGGTGGCTGCTCCAACCAAGCCCACACTGAGCACACTGTGCTGTTGTCTCAGTGGTCTGGGAGCCCACTGACCATTGCAGCCCCCCGAGGTAAGGCCTGGCTGAATTCCTGCAGATGAGCTGCCCCCAACCTTCTCCTGCTCCTGTATCTTTGCCTGAAAGCCCCATCTTGAAATGTCCTGCAGACAGGGCTCTACCTTCACATCCTGCCTAGGGTGATGCTAGATCCATCCTCAGACAGAGACAAATAGCTATTTCCCAACTATAGCTGGGAGGTTTGTCATCATTAGGGGCTGGCAAAAAGCAGGGAACAGGGGATGGCTCTGTGATTGAGTGACAGAAGTTGGAACTTGAAGAGTAGGGAAGTTTTAGGTCTTTGAGGGGGTGTGCAGCAGGAAGAAAGACATGAGAGCATTGTGGCCCCAATGTGGGAAAGTCACCTGGACAGGCACTGTGGGTCAGGCCCTGAACCCATTCTGAGAGGCCCAGGATGCCTGGCACTCACTGTCACCCTGCCTCGGATCCTGCTAGCCACACCATTTCATCTAATGACACTGCCTGGGATTTAATGGACTCTTAAACATAATGCTGCTATTGTGGACAAAGTTTAGTTTTAGCTAATGAAGTCATTGTAAGTTGAAATAAAGAGCAGAGATTGAAATGCTCACAATCATTCAGTGAAATGGAATGACTTCATAGTCGGCACAAAACATGGGACGCTCTCTCCTGGTCTCCCCCCAGGGGTTTCTGGCCAGGCTGTTGGTGAGGGTGGGTGGGTTTGGCAGATCCGGGGAGGCACAGGCCTTCTGTGCTCATTCACATGATCTCATGGTTTCCACTGCTTTCTGTTTGCACAGGAGCCGTCTCTGTGTTTATGGCCTTTAAAATTCCAATTTTTATTCTCATTATTCTAGTTTTGTTTGTGAAAGTTCGCTTAGCAGCTCTAAGCATGAAGTTACGTAAAGAGAGGAGTATTTCCTTTGACCACCTGGAGAAAGCACTAGAAAGTAGGTAATACCTACCACTTTAGAAATAGAAAGCAAATATGAAGGATTTTTTTTAATCCCAGCAGTTATTTAAAAGATAAACAGTAAATACAAGTGGAATTATACCAACTAACCATACTACCAGCAGTCAATTGCTGTAGAATAAACATCCTTATTTCCAGGGTGTTCTAATATATTCGAAGACATGGAGAATGGCACCAAAAGAATTTATCACTGACAATTGCTAAATTAGATATTCCCGAGGTTTGCCTATATGGATGACAACATTTTTAGCACTTCAAGGTCCTTGGAAGAAAAACTCTGTATAAAAATTCAGGACGATATTGTTATCATCAACATGTTAAAATTGACTGAGATTGTTACAGCAGTTTTAAAATCAAACAGACCTAAAAAGAAGGGGAAAATTACATGTGTACTCTATATTTGGATTTTTATACATGAGATTTAACACATAATGTTGTGATGTTTGTTTCAGATAAATTCCTTTTTACCAAAGGTGTTTCTTCTGAGCCAATCAATGCATAGCTTAGCAGGACCCATCAACCAAATAATATCCATTAACAACACTCCAATTAGCCAGGGCACCATATTTGACAGTTCAGTTCTCAACCTGTTCAACCATTCATTCCATTTTGGCTGCTGTCCTAATTAATGACTAATCTATAAAAAGGAGATAATAATACATACCTTATACATGCCACACACACATAATTATAAGAACAGAACCAGATTACACACACGGTGGCACCTGGTGTGGGAGGTGCTTCGTAAACATTTGGATTTTCTGTTTCTTTTTTTTCCTAATATTCTGTAAACTCTTATTATCTTTACTCTTGCATTTCCAAGGCTATTTAGAAATAAATAATAACAAAATTTAAAAATCCTTTTGTATAGTAAAATCGCCTAATATGGATATTTTCCAAAAACAAGTCAAAGGAATCAGAGGCCTCTGTAGCAATTTGAGGCTCTTTGGCTGGGATCCCTATTCCTCAGTGGCTCAAGACCAAATTTCCACTATCAACACCATCCATCTTTATCCCAGAGCACAATTGGAGACTAAAGTCTAGAAATGGACTGAATTACAAACATTTTTAAACTATGTCACCAGAAATGTATCTGTACTCTTGCATCACTTTTGTTCCTCTCCCTACATTGGATATTCAATAACCCACTTTTAGACTGTTTTCAAAATATACAATGCTCCCAAACCTTCTCCCAGCAACAGTTTGGTCTTTCAGATCATTGGTTTCCCAGTCTTTCTCTCCTCTCCCTTCCCCTCTACCCTCAGCAGGATTTATTGCTCTACTAAGTCTTTACTAAAACTATGTAAAATGTTTTAAAGTCAGCTGCAACCTCCAGAATTCACAAACAATACATTCCTTAGGACAAGGGCCGTGACTTGCATTTGTTTAAAATCTTCTCTATCTGCTGTCATAGCTAGTTCTCAATGATCTTTGAATGAAGCTTAATCTTTTTGAATGCAAAGCTGGCAACAGATATTAACGATGCTGTGATTTGGGCTCTGGACATTATGTGGGTGTCTCAAGTTGAGCCTGCTTTCTGAAAGATGGGCCTTATCCAGACCCTCTCAGCTTTAGACACACTTGGCCCTTCCTGGATGCCATAAGCAAACATGAACCTGGTCAAGGGATATGTAGCTTCAGCCAATGACCCAGCCCTGCAATGGTCAACAATGGCTGTTAAGAGGGGCAACCTGAAATTTGTAAACCTACTATACAGCATAAATAAAAGCTTTAACCTTGTTTCTTGGTGATAAATTTTTCCCACTTTTTATGTGTTTATACTTGCCCTGTATATTTGTGTGTACATATGTGCATACCAACTCATTCACCTAACACTTTATGGATGCATGAAATCAGATTATATGTAATTTTTCACTATTTTATTATACATAATATCAGAAATAAAGCGCAGCCGTGGCCTTATAATGAAATGCAATGAAACATATCAGAATGCAGCTATAATCGGCAAAGCCCATTTCAGTTACCATAGCAGGACACAAGGGGATTTGAATCATGAGTAAATGTTCTGATCTGCGGGTAATTCCTAACCACAGTTTAAGTTTAAGCAACCCCATAACTTTGGCTTTCTTTAGCAGAGGACCTACAATGCATTAAAATAAAGAACCTCATCCTGGTTTTTCTCCTCTAGGGTATCTCTTCATGTGAGGAGACATCATATGTTCAGACCCACGAAAAGTACTTGAATTAGATTCCTGTGATCGTTTTTATGGGTTGAGGCCATACGTGCCTTCTAAGAGGCCAAACTTTCTCCCAGCAGAAACTTGGGCCCTGGCTGGGATCACTAAAGCGTGTTCTTGTCTTTGACCTCTTCCATCTTTCATGTTGGGTTGTTCGTCCCACCTGCATGGAATATAAACTTCTCTGTATGCTGTGAATACCTAATCCAGAGTCTAGCATCTACTTTTGAAACTTTCATTTAGAAAGCAGAACCTTTCAACAGAAAAGAGAACCCACAAATATCAGACACCTCACCACCCAGCACTTCACCTAGACTCCCAATTCTAAGTTGTGCCTATTTTAGTACTAAAGCAACATGTGACTTGCTGTGATGAAAAATTAGAACAGGAGAAATAAATATCTCCATTAAGATTTTGTGAGTCTTAAATATTACAACCTGTAATATTACAATTGCCTTTGGTGATCACTCCAGTCAACTCCTGTCATTTCATAAATGAGGACACTAACGTGTAAGAGTTTATGCCAGTCACAGTGGCTCATGCCTATAATCCCAGCACTTTGGGAGGCCAATGCAGGAGGATTGCTTGAGCCCAGGAGTTCAAGACCAGCCTGGGCAACATGGCAAAACCCCGTATCTCCAAAAAAAAAAAAAATTAGCTGGGCATGGTGGTGCATGCCTATAGTCCCAGCTACTTGGGAGGCTGAGGTAGGAGGATCATTTGAGCCCAGAAGGTTGAGGCTGTAGTGAACTAATATCACAGAACTGCACTCTAGCCTGGGTGACAGAGCCAGATCCTGTCTCAAAAAAAGAAAAAAAAAAAGAGTTTAAAGACGAGCTGAGGGTCCCACTCAGTGAGTACCAAGCAGGAGCCAGGTGTCTGCTCCAGTCCCTGTCTTATGACTTTTCACCATGACGTCTTCCACCCCTACTCCAGCCCCAATGCCAATCACCCACTTAATCAATATATGCTCAAACCTCTAATGTGCCAAAGTGATTGTTCAACACGAGTCTGCTCGCCGCTTTGCTCAATTAACTTCCCACCTCCCTTGATAATCAGACCCATGTTAGAATTCTATGGTGTTAACAGTTTTATAAACTAATGCCTTTGTTAGGTCCTTCAAAATAGGTGCTGGCAAAATAAACATAACCCTCTACATTGTACAGCCCTCTGCATTTTACAAAACACGATCATGGACATTATCTCACTTGATCAAGTAAGTCAATAAAAGGTTTATTTGTTTGGAGAGAGAGCAAGAGGCAGAGAAAGCTAAACAGCAGAAGTGTCCATCAGAAAAAAAGAAAAAGAGATTTAAAATATAGGTGGGGACTCAACGAAAACGTAGTTTTTCCTTCTCAAGCTGGGAGCTGAAAAGCCCCCAGTCACTTCCCCATGGTGATCTCTTTTTCTGAGGAGCTCAAGCCTGAGAATCTGCCTGAAACAGAAATCACTGACCTCTCCTCCAGGCACTGACCTCCGAGTCTGTAGAGTTCCCAGGGCTGGAGTTAGCAAACTGTGCTCCCAGGAATCCTGCAATGCTTCCAGGGAGGGCTGGGCAGGGCAGGGGTGCTGTATTTGTACAAAAAGTAATGACTTTTGATGACAGAGACTGGAATCCTAGGAGAGGTCTCCACTGGCCAGGAGCCAGATCCAGCCTCTTGTAACCCAAGGAACTCATTGCTCTCTTAGGGCTAGTTGGAGCTCATGGATCTGAAGGTCAAGGTATCTTTTGTTCATTATGATAAAAACGTATTTATGATGTCAGGGAAAAATTATGACACCCCAAATCCCACTATCTACTCATGTCAAATTTACATTTCTCCATCATCTCTGGCCCTCTTTATCTTCACATCCACATTTTTTACAGCTATAAGAAGGTTCTATGTAAATTGTATATCCTTTTTTCTATGGTATTACGTTTGGTATTTTTTCCAAGTATTTACTGTTCTGTCATAATGGTCTCTTCATTTTTATAATCTTCTTAGTGTAAGGTGAAAAGGTCAGGTTATCCCTAAATTTGTAAATAAAAGGGACTTGTAGGTATAAAATTAATGAGTCATTTTACCAGGGAAGGGCTAATTCTGCCATGGAAGGAAGCCATGGTCACATTTGTTGAATGGAGCCTGAGATGCTGGAGACCCCAACATAACTGGGTAGCCTCAGGAACTTCAAAGATCCAGAATGCAGATCAGTGCCTGTGGGAGAGAGGCATGGCATCTGGGGACATGGACATCTGGCCACCAGGGAGGGGCCTTCCTCTATGAGCTGGGAACAGTTCAACAGACTCCTCCAGGACCCAGATGAAGTATCCACCTCAGCCCTCATGCACTGCAGTCACCATCTGAGAGTTTGCCACTGCAAATATGTGATCTGGCCTATACTCACACAAAAGTGTCACATGGGCAAAGTCAGTGTCTTCACCCCTGAGGACCTGGCCACCTCTGGGCATTAAGACGTCACTGAGTTTCAGGGCACACAGAGAAGAACAACAGTGACCGCATCAAGTTGTGTGATGTCAAGGGCAGGATGGCCTTCCCTCTAGGGCTTGGCCTTCTCTCCCTGTAACATGTAGCACTCCGTGGAGTAATCTAACCAGAATATGGTTATGGTTTCCCAGGGCTGGGTATCTTGCTCGTTCATTGCTTTATGGTCTTCTAAATAAGACTGTCATCAATACCCTTGTGCCTTTGGCTTTTGTATCTGAGGGATGGTTAGGACAGTGGATGGTGATATCCCCACATCTCAGGGGCTTTTTCCTCACAAGGCTGAAAAAATCCAGGATGGTGATTTACAGTGTGCCAGAGGAATCTAGGAGTGAGTACAGAGCAGTTTCATTTTTGTGGAGGTCATAGGAATTCCATGGGCAGTACCTTTGATACCATGGGCATGGCACCAGCTTCCCTGCCTAGGGTATCATTGATCTGAACTCCTCCCTCCCCTATCCTCAGACAGGCCTGGGCCTAGCCCAGAAGAAAACATAAGCTGCTCTAGACCTACACCCTGGAAACGTCCTTCTCATCATCAAATTCCCATCCCCTATTAAATTTAAATTATGTATTTTTTGCTTTCCCTCCAGATAACATTGTCTTCTTCAATATGAAATTAGATTGAGGTAAGAGAAATGATTGCTGAGTTGTTTGAATTTTAATCATTAGACTCAAAGAAATGGTGACTCAACTAACTCTTCATTAAAAGTCCTATATTTCATCCAAGATAGAACATACCAGAATAAAAAGTTTTGGGGCACTTTTTATGGCGCATGTTCTTAAAACACTGTAAAATCCAATGACATTTATTTTCCTAAGTATATTTCACCTTTTAATAAGATTTAAACTAATCTGGCTGATTGTCTCAAAGAAAAAGCCATCCTTTCATATATCAGAGGCCAGCAGCCCGTGACCAGCCTGCCAAAGTTGACCCGCATGGGGATTCGGAGGGATGCCAGGGAACTCATACTGCATTGATTTTCCTAACTTGACTCTCAGCATTACTAAGGACTTTGGCCTGGACTCACAGCTCTGGCTCTTTCTTCTCCTGGCTCACTCACAGAAGAACCTGGAGTCCCAGAGGACCAACTCTCTGTCCACAACCGCCTTGGCTGGAGACTGAACCACGCCTGTCCTGGCCCAAGGGAGGGTTTGGTCAATGTGTACTTACAAGGTAACCTATCCAAAATGGAATGCATTGTCTCCTCATCCCCTACCCACACACACACTTATGCAACACATACACACTCACTCCTACATTCTCTAGCTCAATGAAAAGTGTCACTATTCTCCTAGTTACTCAAACCAAAACCTGGATAATTCAGACTTTTCCCTCCTCTGTTCTCCAATAACCATGACCTCAAAGAACTATGTATTCTAACCCATCAAAGCCTTCTTCTCTACTCCATGGCCAGAATTCTCATTGTCTCTCATCTGAACTATTGCAGTATCAGACATGCTATAACCAAAGCAAGGGGATTCCAAAATACCTTTAAATTCAATCCGTCCAGTAATGAGTGAGTGCCCTGTGCTGAGTTGCAGGGAACACTCCTGACCTTGAGTAGTTCACAGTTTCCTTAGATATGTGCTACCTGACCATGCAGAAATGAGAGAAGGAAGCAGCGTAATGATAAAGTGACAACCAAATATAATAGCATCCCCAAATGAGTTCTCTGGAAGGGAAAAGACTAATGGGGCAGAAGTTATCAGGAAGGCTTCCTGGAAGAAGCAGGAATTTGAGCTACGCTGCCAAGACTGTGTAAAACTTGAATCTGTGAAGTAAAAGGAACAGTGGAGAAAAGTCTTAAGAGCCAGAAGAACTCTTGGCAATACAGAGACAGAGGAGAGTAGGCTCTGTGTTGGGGGTGGTAAAAAATGGGGAAAAGCGGGAAGTAGGTGCTTCTGAACAGATCAAAGACCAGGGAGCTAAAGTTCCTGGAGGAGGGGAGAATGAGTGTGGCCTCCCACATGCTGAGTTTGGAAAAGGCAAAATGGGTGAGTAGCCAGTAAAATTCACCCTGAAATTAAAACGACTGCTTCTGGCTAAACCACCTCTTTGGCCAAGGCTCCAGTGTCTTGCCTAGTCTGCTGCCAGCCTGTCCAGTCTGCTGCCAGCCTGTCCAGTCTGCCAGGATGAGTGTCGGGGCAGGCTGTTCTGTTCCCAATCAGTAGCCAATTTCTCCCAGGACTCAAAAAAGCATCCACTTAAGCTCTGAAGTCTGCAAGTTCCAAGGTCAATGTGTGCCACATTGGATAGTATGTGGGGTTAACAGTGGGGAGTTCAGGAAGGAACTCCCAATATAAAAGCTCTTTATTCTCTTAGGAGAGGAAAGCATGCTTCCCCCTGCTCAGGGAAGCTGCACATCCCTTCTGACTTGGAAACCAGCTATCTAGGCCCATGGCATTCAAGTCAGTATCCGAGCAATCGCAGAGGGACATTGAGAATGTACTTCCTGGAGCCTGGAGATGATGAGCCAATGATAGAGGCCGGGCCTGTTTTTCAAGAGCAGGTGCACACTTGTGTCTTCTGACCCACTGGGCAAATAAACCCATGGGGCAGCACCACTGGCCTCCAGAGTCATGTGCACACCTTTAAGCCGGAGAGGGAACAGTCGAGGCAGCTGTGGCCAGAGGCTGAATCAACAAGGGGAAAGGAGGAACAAGCAAGCTCAGGCCAAGGAATTGGGGCTTGCAACTACTCCCCTAGTCTTCGACAGGACAGAGGAACCATGGCTAGCCCTTGGGTTACCTATATTCTAAGACCTGCTGTGACATTTGCTGGCTCTTGTATTCAAGGAAGCTGCCTATCCAGCATCGGCCTCCACACACTTCCCTGTGAAAGAGATAATAGACCTGCTCTCCCCACGACCGTCACCACTGCTCAGGGTTTGCTGATGAATGAGCCAATACCTAAGGAAGCAATTATTTTGCTGTGTGATCCTACACTCACATGACATCTTGTTATTACTATCTGTGCTCAACATGGCCCCGGCCACAGAATGAGGAACGTGATCATGTAGAATCTGGCACTGCCCTCCAGAAGTTCATAACCAGACTTGAAAGAGAGAAACATCACCCACGGACCATCATTTCACTGGCTGAAGTGATACTATCCAGGCTACTGTGTGCTGCAGGAGCTCAGAAAGATGGTGGTGGGTATAACCAGAGAAGATCGCTCAAAAGAGTTTGAACATAAGCTGGACCACAAAGGATAGAGTAAATGTGGAAAGATGGAAAAGAAAAAAAGAAACCTACAAACACCAGATATGTAGCCCAAAAGCCCAGCTTCTATAACTTGTTCATGGCTACCGTACATAGAAGCACCCAGGACTGCAATCCCTTTTGTATACAAGTTTCTTTTCTTTCTGAGCCAAGTCAAGAAACCTGAAAACTATAAGGCAGGAAAAAAGAAGAAGATTAAGATTATCCATGATTTCATCACTCGGGATGACCAGTGTTATTGTACTATTTATCTTAAAAGTGTTTTTCAAATATTTTTCTACAACATCATTTTTAAATGCTTGCATACATTTTATACATAAATGTAAACTAGTTAACTAATTCCTCTATTGCTGGAATTTTAAGATGTCTCTAAATGATATAAACAATATTTCAAATTTTGTGATTGGGAATGTGGATTCTAGAATATGAGTGTCAAGGTCCAAGTTTTGTCTCCACTGTTTGTTAGGTGAATTGCATAAACTCTATAAACTCAGTTTCCTACTTTAAAAAACAGAAGTGTGTCAGTGACAGTGGTGTATGCCTGTAGTCCTAGCTATTCTAGAGGCAGAGGGGAGAGGATCACTTGAGTCCAGGAGTTTAAAGCTGTAGTGTGCCATGATCTCACCTGTGAATAGCCACTGCACTCCAGCCTAGACAACACAGTGAGACCTCATCTCTAAAAAAGAAAATAGGGGGCTAGGCGTGGTGGCTTACGCCTGTAATCCCAGCACTTTGGGAGGCTGAGGCAGGTGGATCACGAGGTCAGGAGTTCGAGACCAGCCTGGCCAACATGGTGAAACCCCGTCTCTACCAAAAATACAAAAATTAGCTGGGTGTGGAGGTGCATGCCTATAATCCCAGCTACTCAGGAGGCTGAGGCAGGAGAATCGCTTGAACCCGGGAGGCGGTGGTTGCAGTGAGCAAAGATAGCGCCATTGCACTCCAGCCTGGGTGACAGGGTGAGACTCTGTCTCAAAAAAAAAAAAAAAAAAAAAGCGGTGGAAATAGCACCTAACACACAACATTGATTATTTTAGACACTTTATTCAGACATATCATGCAAAACACTTAACAAAGTTCCCACTGCATGATAGGAACCTAAAAAGCAACTATTATTCTCATCATCATTATACCTATATCTTATCTTTCAGTACATCTAAGATTATATTATTAGGGTAATCTGTCCACATTAAAGTTTTTTTAATGCATTTCTAAATTGCAGACCAAAAATATGTACTTGGATTGGAATGCTTCTAATCAAGATGGATTAACAGGAACTAGATTTACCCTACCACCAGAAACAAACAATCTGTAAGAATATATAAAACTACAATTTTCATATATTGCATATAGGAAGCACAGGACAACGACCCTTGAGAAAAGTAAAATAAATTAGATGAGTCCTATGATGACCCCAGCTTACTGCGGGGAGTTATCAGATGACAGCAGAAGAAAAAAGAACCCAGACAGAGCTCAGCATGCTACCTGAGCTGAAGAAACAAAGTTGGTAAACAAAGCTTGGTCCAGGAAGACCAAAGAAACTAAAATTTATAGGACACAGTACTGGAGAGGAAAGAACTACACAGAAAAAGAGCTCTGGAGTTGTGTAGAGTGCCCCTGCAAAGTCTTCAACCAAGTATAGATCAGACATGTATGTGAGAAGACTACCCAAGGCCAGGGAAAGAACTGTCCAAAAGGAACAGGAAGAACAATCCGAGAAACTCTCACAAACTTAGAAAGACTTTGCGTTTCTACCAGCCCTAGAAGAAAACTTTATAATTAGTGGTGCACTGGGTAGAGAATCAGAATGATATTTGCCTTATTTGTGGGTCAAAATTAGCTCTAGATTAAAGCCTATACTGGAGCCAACTGAAAAAGCTTTTTAAAAAGCCTAAATGAGCAAACCATTTCCAAGTAACTTTACTGTGTCCTTGAACTTTAAATTTTGTATAGGAATATAAATATGGACAGCACCCAACAAGGTAAAATAAACAATGTTGACAACAAATCAAAAACTATCAGACATGGGGAGAATACAACCCACATAAGGGGGACCCATGAACTAAGAAGACATACCCAGAAATGGCACAAATGATAGAACTAGCAACCAAGGATGTTAAAACAATTACTTTAACCATATCACATATGCTCAAGAAGGCATAGGAAAGATTATGCATAAGTAGAGCCATGGAAGATGTTTATAAGACTGAAAGTGAACTCCCACAGATGAAAAACACAATTTATGAAATGAAAAAAAAATACCAGATAGCATTAACAGGAGATTAGAAATTGCAGAAGAAACGATTATGGAACTTGAAAATAAGCAATAGAAACCAACCAAAATGAAACAAAGAGGGAAAAATCTGAAAAAAAAAAGAAGAGAACTCATTTTATAAAACTTCAAGTAGCCTAATATGTGTTGAATCACAAAATGAAAAGATATAGGTCAGTGGAGTCAGAAAAAAAATTGAAAAATAATACCTCCAAATTTTCCAAATTGACAAAACTATAAACCTATAGATCCAAGAAGATCAACAAAGACCAAACACAAAAAGAGTAAAGAAAACTAGACCAAAACCATCTTTATCAAGTTATTTAAAACCAATAAGAAATGAAAGCTTTGAAAGCATTCAGAGAATACACATTATATACAGAAGAACAAGCATAGGATAATGGCAGACTTCTCATTGAGAAAAAGGCAAGCCAGAAGACAATGTTAAAGCATCTTTAAGTACTGAAAGTAGGTCAACCTAGAATTCTATAAACAGTGAAAAAACATTCTTCAAAAATGAAAACAAAGTAAAGATTTTCTAAGACAAGCAAAAGCTGAAAGAATTCATCACCAACAAAACTTTAGTACAAGAAATGTTGAAGAAAGTCCTTTAAGCAGAAGGAAAATTATACTAGGCATAAAAACCAATGCCTACACAAAGGAATAAAGACCGTGCTAAAATGGTAAATTTAGAAGTAAACTTTTAAAAAACCTCTTTATATCTCATTAAAAATAACTGACTATTAAGGCAATAACAATAACACTCTATTGTGAGATTTATAACATATTTAGAGGTAAAATGTAAAACAATAATAGCACAAAGACTAGGAAGGAGAGATGGAAGTGGATGGTGAAAAATTAAAGATGGATCAGCAAATGACAGTACATGGGCCAAATATGACCGGACACCTGTTCTTTCTAATAACATTTGATTAGAAGCTAAACACATTGGCTGGGCATGGTGGCTCATGCCTGTAATCCCAGCACTTTGGGAGGCCAAGGTGGGTGGATCACGAGGTCAGGTGTTCAAGACCAGCCTGGCCAACATAGTGAAACCCCATCTCTACTAAAAATACAAAAAATTAGCCAGGCATGGTGGTGGGTGCCTGTAATCCCAGCTACTCGGGAGGCTGAGGCAGGAGAATCACCTGAACCTGGGAGGCAGATGTTGTAGTGAGCCAAAATCACGCCACTGCACTCCAGCCCAGCCAACAATGCAAAACTCCGTCTCAAACCAAAGAAAAAAAAAAAAAAGCTAAACACATTTATTTATTTACATCTACATATTTATTTATGTCTGTTTATTGTCTATGGCTGCTCCCACACTACAATGGCAGAATTCACTGTTATAATAGAGAACATACAGCCTACAAGGCCTGAAATACTTACCATCTGGCTCTTTACAAATAATGGTTCTCTATCCCTTCTATAAACCCTAAAGCAGCTACTAAAAACCAAGGAGTTATGGCTAATATGTCAAAACAGAGATAAAATGGAATCATATTTTTAAAAAATTAATCCAAAAGATAGAAGACAAAAAGACGGCAAAGAAAAAAAAGAAACCCTGAAGAAAGAATGGATGGGATAAAGAAAAAACAAATAGCATGATTGTGGAATTAAAGATAACCATATCAATCACATTAAATATGAATGATGTAAACATTCCAAGAAAAGGCAGAGATTGTAAGATTGGAAGAAAAGTAACACACATTTACATGCAGCACTCAAGAAGTTTACTGTAAATACAAAGACACAATAGATTGTAACTATTAATAAAAGCATGGAAACAGATATACCATGCTGACCCTAATGAAAACAAAGATGGTGTGGCTATATTAATAGCAAACAAAGATTTCAGAGACAAGAATATTACTAGGGGTAAAAAGAGATGCTTACTACTTAAAAAGAGTTAATTCAGAAAACGAACATAATAAACCTAAATTTAGGCTTCAAAATGTATGAAGAAAAATTTAATAAATGTTAATTAGAAATAGACAAATCCACAATTATGTTGATGATTTAAATATTCCCCTCCCAATAATTGATTAAAGTATGCATAATATCAAGAAAAATATAGAAGACTTTAATAATACTATCACTCAATTTAAACTAATTGACATTTATATGGCACTCCAGTTAAGTACAACATGCACTTTCTTTTCAAGAACACATAAATGCATTTATGTGATATCATATTTTGGGCCATAAAACAAGTCTCAATAAATTTTAAACAATTAAATTCATACAAAGTATGTTCTCTAACCAAAATATAAGAAAGTTGAAAACAAACAACAAAAAGATATCTGGAAAATTTTCAAAAAGCAAATGGGTGAAAGAATAAATTTTTTAAAGAAAATTAGAAAGTATCCAGAAAATACCAAAATGAAAATATATCACTTACAAATGTACAGCACTAAAGGCCTATATTAGAACTGAAGAAAGTTCTCAAATCAATAATCCCCACAAGAAACTAGAAAAAGAAGAAAAAATTAAACATCACAATAAGCAGAAAGAAAAAAATAAACAAAGATGAAAGTAGAAATCAATGAAATAGAAAATCAACAGAGAAGATTGATGAAATCAAAATCTAGTTCTTTGAGGAAATCAATAAAATTTATCAATCCCTAGCAAAACTGATCAGGAAAAAAGGAAAGAAGAATTGCCAATATCAGAAATGATAGAAGTGATATCATTACAGATTCAATGGATATTAAAAGAATAAAAACGGAATATTATGAACAACTTTGTGATAAAAATGTTAAAAACATAGGTGAAATAAACAAATTCCTTAAGACACAAACCACCAAAGCTCATTCAAGACAAAAATAGATATCCTGAATAACTCTATTTCATTAAAGAAATTGAATTTATAATTAATAATCTTTGGCCCCCTGCCAAAAAAATGCACAGAACCAGACGGACTCAAAGGTGAATCATATCAAATATTTAAATTTGAAATAATACCAATTCTACATGAAGTCTTTCAGAAAATTGAGGAGCAGAAGATACTTCTCATGTCTTTCAGAGGCCAGAATTACTTTGTTACCAAAACCAAGTGAAGACATTAGAAAAGAGAAAACTATGGATATTCCTTATGACATTAATAAACATAATTTTTTAGAAAACTGAATTCAATAATATATTTAAAAGATAGTAAGTACATGAAGACCAAGTGGACTTTATCCCAAAATTGTGAAGCTGGTTTAACATTAGAAATTATAATTCACCACATTAACTAAATAAAAACAACATGACCATCTCAATAAATGTAGAGAAAGTATTTTACAAAATCCAACATGAATTATTACTTGTAAAAGCAAACAAACATCCAAAAACTTATGCAAAAAAGGAATAGAAGGGAACCTCCTCAAAATCTACAGCTAACATCATACTTAATGGTGAAAGACTGAGTGCTCTTGCCCTAAGCTAAGGAACAAAATAACGGATGTCTGCTTTCAGCACTTCTATTCAAAATTGTACTGGAGATTTTGAACAGTGAATTCAGTCAAGAACAAGGAATCCAGATTTGAAAGGAAGAAGTACAACTTTTTGTGTTGACAAATGACATCCATGAAGAAAACCTTACGGATTACAGAAAAAAGCAACTGGAACCAGTAAATGAATTTAACAATGTTTCAAATGTTTCAGGATGCAAGATCAATAAATAAAAGTGAACTTTATTTCTACATAATAGCAACAATCAGAAAGAGGAATTTTTAAAAAATATTTATCACAGCATCAAAAAATATGAAATACTTAAAGAGAAATTTGACAAAAAGTTCGCAAGACTTGAACACCAAAAACTACAAAATATTACTGACAGACATTTAAAAAGCATAAATAAATGGAGATATAAACCATGTTCATGAAACAGAAGACACAATGCTGTTAAGAAGTCAATTCTCGGCCGGGCACAGTGGCTCACGCCTATAATCCCAGCACTTTAGGAGGCCGAGGTGGCCTGATCACGAGGTCAGGAGTTTGAGATCATCCTAGTCAACATGGTGAAACCCCATCTCTATTAAAAATACAAAAATTAGCCGGGTGTGGTGGCGTGTGCCTGTGGTCCCACCTACTCGGGAGGCTGAGGCGGGAGAATCACTTGAACCCAGGAGGCAGAGGTTGCAGTGAGCCAAGATTGCACCACTGCACTCCAGCCTGGGCAACAGAGCGAGACTCCATCTCAAAAAAAACAATAAAAAAAAGTCAATTCTTTTCAAATTGATGTATATGTTCAACCCAATCCCATCAAAACCCTGACAGGCTTCTTTTCCTAGACATTGACTAGCTGATTCTAAAGTTTGTAAGGAAAAGCAAAATATCTGGAATAGCCAAAACAACTTTAAAAAGAGGACGAAGTCTAATTTCAATATTGATTATAAAGCTAGAGCAATCAAGATAGTATAGTGTGGGCATAATATACAGAAAGTTATATAAATAGATAAATTTAGACAAATGAGAGCACAGGGATAGATACATATATTGCCAGCTGTTTTTCTGCAAAGATTCTAATGCAATTCAATAGGAAAATGAATATTTTTCAACAAATGAGGCAGAACAATTTGATAGATATATGCAAAAAAGGACATCAACTCTTACTTCATTGGATATACAAAAATTAATCCAAGCCAGGTATGGGGGCTCACACCTATAATCCCAGCACTTTGGGAGGCTGAGGCAGATGGATCACTTGAGGTCAGGAGTACAAGACCAGCTTGGCCAACACGGTGAAACCCCGTCTCTACTAAAAATACAAAAATTAGCTGGGCTTGGTGATGCACACCTATAGTCCCAGCTACCTGGGAGTCTGAGGCATGAGAATCACTTGAACCCGGGAGGCAGAGGTTGCAGTGAGCCAAGATCGCACCACTGCACTGCAGCCTGGTGACAGAGCAAGCCTCCATCTCAAAAAAACAAAAACAACAAAAATTAATTCAAACAGATCATAGACATAGATGTAAGAACTAAAACTACAAAACTTTTAGAAGAAATATTAGTGCCCACAGCTCGGGAAAAGTTTTCTTAAATACGTCCAGAAATGCATAAATTATAAATGTAAAACAAAGTAAATTAGATTTCATCACAAATACAAACTTTTATTCTTCCAAGACAAAGTTACAAAAATGTAACTTGATTTTTGTCATGATTTCATGCATGCATACGTATGGCAAATTTTATCTCATTTTACACTTCAAAGAGTGTGCACCTTGTATACATTGTGCACAGTATACTGAGTGCCAGTTTTTCTGTTAATTATAACTCAGTAAGGTTGTGATAAATGTATATATTTCAAAATGTATACCAAAATATACTACCACAGGTTGTGTACAAACATGCCTTTTGCCTTCTGTCTCACTAACGCTGGGTATTTCTTCATATTGAGCATTTTTCCCAAACTGATAAGCAAATATAAAGCTATCTCACTGTCATTTTAAATTTTTGCTGTGATTAAAAATGAAGTTTAAAATATTCACTTATTTTGGTGTATTTGCATTTCTTTTTTATGAATTATATATATGCTTTGCTCATTTTTATTGGTATGTTTACCTTTTTTCTCATTTATTTCTTTTCATGATAATGCCAGTACATTTTTCCAGACTTTTCCTATGCAAATACACATACTTGTCTTAAAGTATGCAAATACACATACTTTTCTTAAACAAAAATAGGATCATGCTTTATATTCTATTTTTCAACCCACTTTTTACACTAACATAATGTGACTATCTCTCCACCTAGATAAATGTGCAGCTACATCATAGTTTTAATGGCTATAGCAGCAATTCTTAATGCTGCTTCTTAACTTAAACTATATTTCGGTTTCAGAAAATGGAATGAAGCTCTCCCTCATTTCCAAGGGAGTTAAGAGTAATTTTACAAATCACTTTTTTATTTGCTACAGCATCATAGAAATTATAGCAAATTCTTCTAAGAGTGACAACCAATAATCCTCCTCAGCCTGAATGAAAGAGAACTTTATAAAACTGACTTTTGCTAACTTCTTTCATAGCTGCCCTAGAATAGTGCCCATAACAAAATTTTCAGCTACCCACACTTCACTTGACAAATTATGAAGAGACCAGCTTGTTCCCATAAGTCTCCACTCCATTAATAGCCAAGACGAGATGCACTCTGGCAACTAGTGGGCTAGAGTAGAGATGTCTCTTTGTCAAGATCTTAAGAGGAGTAAATCAGCAACCCTTCCTTAAAGTTCAAAAGGAAATACATTGATCAAAATTAAAAGCTGTTCCTCTTAAAGGTCAGACAAAAAAAAAATGGGTAATGTCCTGTGAGAAACACAATTATTATTCAGTGCAGTGCAATGCTATGACATCGGGGCTGAGAACTTCAAAGTGGCACAGCTTTGGAATGAAAAGTTATGGTTTACCAAGAAATAGTAATCTATCTTCTTTGCCAGTTACTTTTGAATGACACTTAATATCCAGGCTCTGTCACCCAATGGTCTGAAAGACCTTCTCAAATTGGGATCAGTAGAACCTTACTTAAAACCATCATTTCATTCCCTTTTGGACTGTGTTTCAAACAACCCAACCACACAAATGAGGAAATATTCAGGCTGAAGTTTAGATTGACTGACTGACCACACTGGCTTGGATTTTTATGTTTGAAACCACTGATCAGAAACAAAGCTTTGTTTTTGGAAAGAAAAAAATCAGGAATTAGGTTGAAGTAACAAGTCTGTAGCAGCCTGAGCATTTCTAGTAGCTTTTTTCCCCAATGATTAGAAAGCCATTGAGCATTCAGCAAACACTGGGGCCGCCTCTGTGCCCCACATAATTCTGGGTATTGATAAAAATATGAAATTAAGCACACATGTCCACCCGTCATCAGCTGAGTGGATGAAGAGGCATGCATGTGAACAGCTCACTCCCTGGCAAGGCTGATGGGGCTGAGTGTATGAGAAAGCCAATGTCCACTGTAAGCATAAGACTGCAGCAGTGGCTGGGATTGACAGGAGATGGGAGGGGCTCTATGCAGGAGATGGTGTTTCAATATGAGAAGAGGAGGAAACGTGACTATCCAAGCCCACCATCTTTCTACCTCTTGATGCATAACACCAATGCTGAAAATAACTATTGTGCGGGATATTTTTAAATCCCAGTGATTCTTAAAATAAATAGAAGAGGGAAAAGTGCATTTAAGTAGCTAGGCTAACGATCACTTTTTGCATAAAGGTGATAAAAGCAATTACACCTTAACAGAAAAGCTCTCAGTTTGTCTAGGGATGTTTCCTCCCCTGATTTAACACTTTATCAAGCTTCACACAAATATTAGATGTTTCCAACAACTACTTACAGCTCATTTGAAAGTGAGAGGACTCTTCCACATGACATGAGCTACCTGAGAGGAAAAAGCCTGATGCATGAGGAGCTGGGTGCCCTTCAGAGCAGGTGCCAAGGTGAGTGGGCAGGTAGGAAACACAGCAGCCCTCCTGGAGGCCCCTCTAGGATGACAAGGACAGGTGCTTTGCAGGAATCAGAGCCACAGTGGTTGAAGCTGAGATGCCAGACTAATAGGCTAAGAGGAACTTAGGCAGACTAGTAAGTGTGACCATCCAACTTGTGGGTTTCCTGGACCTACTGGTCCAGGAAAGCCTCTCCATCTCCGATACCTTCCGCTAAGGGCGGCAACCCAGAGAAGGATCTGGGCTTAATGAAATAGAGCCCCAACTTGGGAGAGGAGGCTTGGTGACCAGTATCAAATCCTTTTCTGAGATCTGTGTTTGGAGTGAAGGTGGACAGAATGTATGGGAAAAGGATGTTGAAAGGAAGGACAGAGGACAACGGAAAACCTGGCCCACCTACAGTGAAGTTTTTGCTGCTGCTGCTGCTGCTGCTGGAAAGTTCATCTTAGAGCTTGTGCTGGTTCCCTGGGGTAGGAGTCAGGGTCCTTCTGCAGACATGGTGATGCCCTGGCCTGACCTTATAATCCTGGGTTATGCAAAAGGTCTGCTGTCAGAGGCCCTGGGTCCTGAAATATCAGAGGAGAGAGAGCTGGACACCTGTGTACTGGGACAAATATATTAAAATAATTGGAAGATGATAGATATCAACCCAATAGTATTAACAGAGCAAAGACTAATTGGTATCCCTCAAGTGGGGAAACAAGTGGCACCAAAAATTAAAGATATAATAGGGAAAAAAACTTTCCTTAAATTAAGGCAGAATCAAATCTACACATGGAAAGAACCTTCCAAGCAGACCATATTATAGGAAATTTGATACAAAATAGGCATAACCAAGACGAATCCTCATAAATTACTGATCACCCAAAAAGTTGAGAGAATTCCTTCAGCATTCGAAAAGAAGAAACACAAAAACATTTACTTAAAAGGCAGATAAATAAAGCCAGGATCATGTTTCTTTATAGAAATATTAAAATCCAGAAATAAAATGGCACAGCATCTATGAGTTTGAGAAAGGGGAAAAAAGTGTAATCCAAAAATCGCAGGCCCAACAAGGTGTGGTTCAAGTATAAAGGTGTGAAACATGCACTCACAGACTCGTAAGAACTCAGGAAATGTATCTCCCATTAGTCCCTTATGAAGAAAGTTTTGATGACAAAGTCGAGCCATTCAAGAATGAATACAGTTATCGTAAAGGACCTCTAGTGAGCGCTGACTCAGTGTTAGACGGAAATTGTGATGGCTGATTCCATGTGTCAACTCAACTAGGCACAGGGTACCCTGATTAAATATGATTTCTGGGTGTCTGGGAAGCTGTTTTCAGATTGACTAGCATTTAAACCAGTGTACTCAGTAACACTGACTGCCCTCCCCATTGCGAGTGGGCACAATCCAATCTGCTGAGGGCCTGAATACAACAAAAGGCAGAAGAAGGAGCAACTCTCAGGTTTTGCTTCCTGCCTGTCTGTTTGAGCTGGGACATCTCATCTCATCTTCTTCTGCCCACAGACTACGATTTACACCATTAGCTCCCCCGGTTCCCAGGCCTTCATACCGAAACTGAATTACACCACCAGCTTTCCTGAGCCTCCAGCTTGCAAAAGGCAAGTCATGGGACATCTCCGTCTCCATATCACATAAGCCAATACCTTATCATAAGTCTCTGTCTCTCTCTCTCCATATACATACATATATATGAGTTTTTATACATATATACACACACAATAAGTTCTCACTTAGCATTATCCATAGGTTCTTGGAAACTACAACTTTAAGCAAAACAACACAAGCAGGTCCTCAAATATGTCATTTCATTCAATGTTATTCTGTTATAACATTGATTAGAAAAAAATTGATTTCATTATACATCATTTCACTTAAAGTCACAGAATATATCTTCTATTAATATATGATATACATATCATATATATAGAACCCTAATATAAAAGCTAAACAATTTTATATATTTTATATTACCATATTATATATACACACAACTTTGGAGACGTGCTATAGTAATGAGGTATGGTTAATGACTGTTATCTTTGAAGACAGCAACAATCAAGGGAGACAGGGAAACGCAATTTTACTTGTTTTTTCCTCTCATACTGTTTTTAACTGAGGTGTAATTTATACATAATACATAGATTTCAATTATACATTTTCATCAATTTTCACAAATGTATAAACCCATGTAATCACTACCCCAATCAAAAAATATAGAACATTTCCATCTCCCTGGGGAATTTCCCTCAAACCTCTTTCAGTCAATTCCCCAGACCCCAGAAGCAGCCATTGCTCTGATTTTCCACTATCCCTTCTAGATCTTTATGTAAACAGCAACAAATGATGTGTTCTGTTTCTTTCCTTCAAGATATTTTTAAAATGCATCCATTCTGTTGCATATGTCAGTAATTTGTTTTTTACTGTTGAGTAATATTCTGTGGATATACCACAATGTATTTATACATTCTCCTTTTGTCTCCAGCTTTTGCCTCTTAAAAATAAATCTACCGTACACATTCTTGTACGTTGCCATTCCTCTTGGATAATAAACCCCTAGCAGTGGGCTGGCTGGGATATCGTGTAGTTGTACATGTAACTCCATAAGGAATAGCCTAACAGTTTTCAAAGTGGTTATACCATTTTGCCAGAATGCCAGAGGCTCAACATCCTATCCAACATCCTTAGACTTTTTCACTTTAACCATGCTAGTGGGTCTAAATATCTCCTTGTGGTTTTAGTGTATGTTGCCATTTCTGATGAGTAATAATGCTGAGCTTTTTATGTTTGGTCAATAAACAGAAATGGTCTGTTCAAAACTGTTTTGCAAATATTTTCACCAAACTTACATTTGCCTTTGAACTTTCTGGAGAATGGCTTTGGAAGAGCAGATAGTTTTAATTTTAACGAATTTATCAATTTTTCAATTTATCTATTTTTTCTCTCTTATAGGTAGTTCTTTCTAATGTCCTTTAAGAAAATTTTGTTTACTGTATGTTCAAGAAGATATTCTTCTAAGTTTCCTTCTGGGAGCTTTATAGTTTTACCTTGAACATTTAGTTTTGTACATATCTTGAATAATTTTTTGTGTAGATTATGAGTCAGGATTTGTTTATGGGGAGAATTTTATATATGCATACTGAATTGTCTCAACATTGCTTATTAAAAAGACTTTGTTTTCTCCATTAAAACACATCGACATCATTGTTGAAAGTCAATTGACTATATTTATGTAGCTTTATCTTGAGATCTTAAAATCTGTACCACTGATTGGTCTACCCTAAAAATTACCACACAGCTTTCAAAATGCAGTGTTATAAGTCTTGATATCAAGTAGGATAAGTCTTCCAACTTTGTTCAACTTTTTCAAAAAGTTTTAACTACCCTAAGCATCATAGAATGCTTAGAATGTCATATAATTTTATATATTAGCATTTTCATACAATGTTAAAGTCAGCTTGCTAAATTTTTTTTTAAAGCTGGTATGATTTTGATTGAGACTATGTTGAATCTATACACTAATTTAGGGAGCATGAACATAATAATATTGAATTTGCCAATGTATTAAAATGGCATATCTCTCCATTTATTCATTCTTAATTTCTTTGCTCCATATTCTATAGTGGTCACTGTAAAAGTCTAGCCATCTTTTAAACTTATTCCCATGTATTTTGCTTTTAATTCAATTTTATGTAAATGATATTTTATTGTTTGTTGCTAAAACATAGAAGTACAAGTAAATTTTGCATATTGAACTTGACTTCTGCGGAATTGCTAAATTCACTTCTTCGCTCTAGTAGGTTTTTTCTCCTATAGATTTCTTAGAACTCTTTGCATACATTATCATGTCATATAGAAATTAGTTCTACTTCTTCCTTTTTCATCTTTTCTGGGTTTTTTTTCTTACCTTATTGTACTGGCTAGGACCTCCCCCAAAATGAAATGATGAGGATAGATAGCCTTGTTTCGTGGAGGAAAGCAAGCATTCAGTGTTTTACTGTGTGACGTTCAATGTTTAATGTAGATGCCTGCTGTAGGTTTTCATAAATTCTCTTTATCAGACTGACAAAATTACCTTCAATCTGTCCACAGTCTTTACTAAGAATGTGTTGATTTTCTGCATCTATTGAGATGATCATGTGGGGGTTTTTTACTCTTATGATATGGTAGCTGATATTGGTTTTCTAATGTTAAACAAACCTTGCATTCTTGGACCAAACAATTGGTCCTTTTCCTATTTGCTGGACTTGCTGATGATTTTTGTGTCACTGTGTATAGGGATATGGGCCTGTACTTTTCTTACATTGTCCTTATCAGGTTCAGCCCTTTGGATTGTCTTTTTTGTTTTGTTTTGTTTGTTTCTATTTTGTTGACTTCTATTTTTATCTCTTTTACATCTTTCTCCTTAGATTGATGTAAACTAGGTCTGCATTTTCTAGCTTCTTAGGTATAACCTTAAATCTTAATATCTTTAAACATTTATAAATTTATAATATAAGCATTTAAAGGTACAAATTTCCCTTTAAGAACTGGTTTAGAGATATTTCACACATACTGTTAACTTTCATTTTCATTGTTATTTTGTTTGAAATATTTTCTTATTTCTCTTCTGATTTCTTCTTTGACCCATTGGTTATTTATGAATGTAGTTTTATTTCCAAAAATTAGGGGATTTTCTATATATTTAATTTCAAAACTTTGAAATTTACTGAGTCTTGTTTTACAATTCAGAATATGATCCAGCTTAGGGAATAGTCCACTTGCATTTCATTCAAAGAATTTGGAGGGATTTTCTACAACTCAACTAGGTCAATTTGGATAACACTGTTGTTCAAGCATTCTATATCCTTAATGACTTTTTGCCTTTTTTATTCCATCAGTGATGAAGCTATGGATGCTAAAATCCCAATTTATGACTATTGATTTGTCTATTTTTCTGTTTAGTTTTCTCAGTTTGGGTTCAGGTATTTTTGTTTTTGATTTACTGGCTTCTTTTACAGCTTTATTGTGGTTCAATTAATATACAGTAAACAGGACACATTTAAAGTTACAATTTGATAACTTTTGACATACATATGCACATGGGGAATCACTACCACAATCAAGATTATGCCCTTGTGTAATCCATGCTTACCTCACTCTTTCCTCAACTCCAGTCATTCACTGATATTCTTTCTGTCACCTTAAATTAGTTTTCATTTTCAAGAATTTCATATATATGGAAAAATATAGCATGTTCCCATTCTGTCTGGATTCTTCCACTCTGGAAAATCATTTTGAGATTCATCCCTGTTGTGCATGTACTAATAATTTATTCCTTTTTTATTGAGTATTATTCTACCACATGGGTAAATTGCAATTTCTTTAGCTATTCATTTGCTGATGGACATTTGGGTTGTTTCTAGACTTAAGCTATAACAAATAAAGCTGCTATAGACATTTCTGTACAAGTCTGTGTTGATGTGTACTTTCCTTTCTCTTGGGTAAATATCTAGAAGTGGAATGACGGGCTGCATGGTAGATGTACATTTAACTTGCTGGAGTGCAGTGGCACAATCTCCGCTCACTGCAAGCTCCGCTCCCCCAGGTTCACGCCATTCTCCTGCCTCAGCCTCCTGAGTAGCTGGGACTACAGGCGCCCGCCACCACGCCCGGCTAATTTTTTTGTATTTTTAGTAGAGACGGGGTTTCACCGTGTTCGCCACGATGGTCTCGATCTCCTGACCTCGTGATCCGCCCACCTCGGCCTCCCAAAGTGCTGGGATTACAGGCGTGAGCCACCGCGCCCGGCCAGATTTAACTTATTTTTAAAACTGCCAATTTTTTCCAAAATGGTTGTATCCTTCCACATTCTTACGAAGCATTACAAGAATTCCAATTGCTCCACATACTTGACAATTAGTAGTCAGTCTTTTGTATTTTTAGCCATTGTAGTGGGTGTGTTGTGATATGTTATTGT